>NC_000015.10:21242090-21420894 GCF_000001405.40 Homo sapiens | reverse complement strand
TTAATTTTAATTATTTATTTATTTAATTATTTTAAGTTAAATTTTATTTTATTTTCTAATTTTTCATGTCCATACTTGATTACTTAAGAATAAAATTATTTTAACATGCATTCCAAAAGAGGAGACATACACGGAAATACAACAAGCAAATTAACCTTCTATTTTTGCATCTGCAGAAAATGTCTCAAGAACCAGAAATAAATAAGGACTGTGATAGAGAGGTATACCTTTATGTTCAAATGTTTCTGTGGAATTAGATTTTTATGTTATGCTGTTTAACAAAGTGTAGTAAGTGTACGCATACATGATCCTATCATGTAAGTAGCATAAATCACCAGTGAAAAATTTAATATTTAACTCAGAAAGAATTCTGTACATTGAGTTTTCAAGAGATACAAACCCTAGAGAGATTCTTTCATTATTATGGAACAATCCTGAATGGTGCCATAAAATGCTAGGTAATGCCTCTTTAGGAGATTTGGACCAATCCTTTTATCTTTCTTGGTTTTAGTCTGATTATCACTAGATAATGTGGCTAAAGAAGATAATTACTTATTCTTTGTAATTTCCAGCTGGAAAATTGTATAGCTATTGAATGTGAAATTTGGGGAGCATCTAATTTTCTGGAATTCCATGCTTGCACCTCAGCAGTTTCACTCTGCTCCTTGTGTTGTGGCAAACTTTGGTTTTCATGTTTCAGTGAGCACCATCATGTTTTTGATATCCAGGAACCAAATGAAAAAAGAACGATCAAAGGCAGTGGGAGAGGAGAATATCTTAGTGCAGAAAAGGGCCATCTTCCTTTCTATTCCTGAAGCCCCCCAGTGTCTCATCCTCTACATCTGAGTGTTTAATGTAAAATCTAGGTGGTAAAGACAGAAGACACATTTTGTGTCTATGTCGTTTTATTTTTGTGTTCCCACGAGTCAAATGGGGTAAATTCATATATAAGATTCTGAAGAGTTTTTGGGAATAAAAGCACAAAATGAAGGAGGGCCCTTTTTGAATTTTGGAAAATTCTGTTTTATTCAGTCAAACAGCTGGAATCAAGCAAACTACAAAAATTTCAGTGATATACTAATGACATGATAATTACATCTTAAAATTATACGGTTATAGTTCTGTATATATGATCAAATTTAAGTGTGAAATATTTTTAATGACTAAAATAATGGCAAACTGAGTCAATTGATAAAATCAATTAAAAAGGTTATTTTTATTCAATAAAGTGATAACCATCCTTAATATCAAACTTCCACTCAAGGTTGAAGAAGAAATAAAGAAGCATGGAAGTAATCCTGTGGGATTACCAGAAAACCTGACTAATGGTGCCAGTGCTGGCAATGGTGATGATGGATTAATTCCACAAAGGAAGAGCAGAAAACCTGAAAATCAGCAATTTCCTGACACTGAGAATGAAGAGTATCACAGGTAAGCCTATAGGAGATAACTATATGCTGTCAAACTAATCCTAATTTGGGCTTTCATGATGAACAAATTTTATACTTTTACTAGAATATTCAGCCTTGCCTGTTAATCAGAAAAATGAAAATCAGTAAACAATGAGTTACCGTTTTTTCCAGTCATTAATTTATTTGAAAAATAACCGGCATTGGCAAATGTGAGGGAAAAGGCATTTCCTTTTCTTTTTAATGAACTTTTATTTTAGCTTCAGAAGTTCATGTGTAGGTTTATTATATAGGTAAACTGTGTCATGGAGGTTTGGACTACAGATTACTTCATCAGCCACATAATAAGCAAAATACTCGAGAGGTAGTTTTTTGGTCATCTCCCTCCTGCCACACTCCACCCTCAAGTAGACCCTGGTGTCTGTTATTCTCCTCTTTGTGTCCATGAGTTTTCATTGTTTAGTTCCCACAAATGAGTAAGAATATGTGGCATTTGATTTTCTGTTCCTGCATTAGTTTGCTTAGGATAATGGCCTCCAGCTCCATGTGTGTTGCTGCAAAGGAAACGGTCTCATTGAAAAAGACAATTCATACACTGTTGGTAAATATATTTTGAACATTAATTTATTAGCATATTTGCACACACACATATATAACATAGTAAGTATATATATGTATGTTAAGGATATTTGTATAGATTTGTCACATATATACTTATGTATAAGGACATTTCTTACAGCGTTATTATATCAAAAAGATGGATCCTTATCAATAGGAATTTATCATTATCAAAAGTAAATCCTTACCAATAGGAAATGGCTCAATTTTCATACCCAGAAAATAATACGGTATGCAAACATTTTTTACAAATGAGGTTAGATCTAGAGTATACTGATTATTTCACAATTAAAATGTATTTAAAGCATTTAGTTTGGTAACACATCTTAAGATAATTTTGTTAGAATTCTTGTAATATCTGCTGTGTTGCAAATGGAAGCTACACGCTACATTGACACTGTACCTTGTTAGCAACGAGATTGGTAGTTATTAAATTTTTGTTGTCAGTGCCTGAGTGCCAAAATATTGGACCTTCAATCTGAATATTGCCAAGGGATTGTACATGGGGACCTATATTTAATATAAACATTTGAGTATATTGGGTAAAACTTTTATTAAAATATATCAAAGTATCTTTCATCTGCTAAACCAGGAGCTGGCCAGCTTTTTCTGCAAAGAGCCATTTAGTAAATATTTTAGGCTTTGTGGACTATATATATTTATTTTTTTTGAGACAGGGTCTCTGTTGCCCAGGCTGGAGTGCAATTGTGTGATCACAGCTCACTGCAGCCTTGACTTTCTGGGCTCTAGTGATCCTCCTCCCACCTCAGCCTCTCTATTAGCTGGGACCCCAAGTGTGCAACATCACACCCAGCTAATTGACTCTATGGACTGTAAAGTGAATAAGCATGGCTGCGTTCCAAGATTCTTTACTTACAAAAACAGTCAGTGGCCTGGATTTGGCCCACAGGTGCTAATTTGCTGACCCTTGTGCTAAAAGGAAGGTGCTGCTAATGCAGTAACACTTATTTATAAAAGTGCCCAGCATGTGTGACAGTATCTTTCCTTTGAGAAAAGGATATATTTTGGTATTCACCTCACCATATTTTTCCACAGTGACTTCATATAATTTTAAAAATTTCATTTGTAAAATAAGATTATTTTCTGCATTTCTGCCACTTTATTCCTGTTAATAGAATTCAGTATTTTATGGTGATCAATTACTTTGTATATTCGATGAGCATCAACTGTCCTAGAATTGGCTGATTTTTATCAAGCAAGAAATACTCTCCTTGAAACTTTTAGTTTTTCTTGGTCTTTATGTATAAGCATGAACAAAATGATAATTGGCTTATGTAATCTAGAAATGGTCAAGGCAACTTTTAGTTCTATAGTTTTAAGATTTAACACCTTGGTCTGGCATTTTTAATGCCACATGTGTATAATTTTTATAAGCTTTAAAATATATAATTGTTATATAAAATTTGAAAACTACACCTTTTATGTAAAATTTGAAACTATTTGTCTATTACTTTTCCATGACTGTGGAAGAAAATTACAACATTCTCAGCCATGACTCCTAAGTATGATGTCCTTAAAAGAACTGTCTACACTCACGAACTCAAATTTTCTTTTCATTCACTCTTGATCTCATGCCAGTAAGTCTTCAATTTCAGTAGTCCTCCAGCATTGTTTTTCCTCAAGATTATCACTAATTTTTTTCTGTAATAAATCTAGGCACTTTTCTTCCACCTCATTTTATTTAATCTGTCAGCAATATTTGAGCCAATGGAGGGCATCTCCTCCCTAACGGCATCTTCACTGGCTTTCAGGACCTCACTCCCTCAGGCTTTTCCTCCTGCCTTTCTAGTCCATTCATCATGGTCTGTTTTGCTTGCTCCTCCTCATCTTTCTCCTTTTGGACATTGTTGTTTCCCAGGGCTCACTCCTCAGTCTTCTTTCTTGTGACTTTTTCTTTTTCTTTTTTGGAGACAGAGTTTCACTCTGTCTCCCAGGCTGGAGTTCAGTGGTGTGATCTCGGCTCACTACAACCTCTGCCTCCTGGGTTCAAGCAATTCTCCTGCTTCGGCCTCCTGAGTAGCTGGCATTACAGGTGCATGCCACCGTGCCCAGCTGATTTTTGTATTTTTAGTAGACACAGCATTTCCCCATGTTGGCCACCCTGGTCTCAAACTCCTGACCTCAGGGGATCTGTCTGCCTTGGTCTCACAAACTGTTGGGATTACAGGTGTAAGCCACTGCACCTGGCCCCTCGTGACTTTTTCTACTGTGTATATGCTAGTGATTTCTGAATGTATGTCTCCAGCTCAGATCTTTCTCCTTAATTCCAGATTTCTATATCAGCCTGCCTACTTGACGTCTCTATTTGGTTAGTTATTGGGTATCACACACTTGTCAGATCCAAAATTGGGCTACTGATGTCCTTCCTGAAATCTGCACCTCATGTAGTCTTTCCTATTTTTGGTTAAGGGCAACTCTTCCAGTTGCTCTGCCAAATATCTCGGTGTCATTCTTGACTCATCTCTCTCTCTCTCTGACACCTCACATCTAATCTCTCAGTAAATCTTGTCAGGTCTACCTGAAGAATATGTCCAGAAGTCAGTCATATCTTGTACATCTGAGCCACCCTCATCTGCAGTCTAGATGAGTGTCATAGACTGGGAATTGATAGTCCTGGTTTTTAAAAACTTCCCTTTTCATCAATTCTTAACTCAGTGGATGTATTTAAAACATAAGTCAAATTGTGTCATTCCTCTGCCCCAGCCCTTCTGATTATCTCCCATTTCACTCGGAGTATGTGTCAAAGTTCCTCCTAATTATCTCCCTTGCTCTGCTTCAGCCAAACTGAATTCTTGCCGTCCCTTATCTACCCCTAGTGCTTAAAGATGCCAGGCACACCTCTGTGATTCGCAGTTCCCTGTGTCTGGAATGCTTTTTCCCCAGTTATCCTCCTAGCTTTCTCTTTCCATTCCTTCAGTTCTTTATTTAAAACCCCCTTTCTAAGAAGAAGAGGAAAAAGGGTAAAAAGAAAGACATTAAGGAACAACCACTTTCTGAGGAAGAACAGCGTGCTACCTAGACGCGTCATGCTTGAGGTTCAATTGGGTGCCTACCAGGGATGCTCTCTAACGTAATGAAGGGAAGGTTCAGTGAAACAAAGTGATTTAACATCTCTAACTTCAAACCCATTTGTATCTTGACATCAATGCCGTTAACCTTATGTCGTCATTTCTTAGAGTCTTTGATATACAAATAAAAGGTTTTTTGTATTAGAAAAAAAAATCCCCTTTCTCAGCAGGGACTTTTCTGACCACCCCAACTTTCCCACCACCCTCCCCATGAAACACATAAACATTTCATTTTCCTGCTTTAGTTTTTCTCCTCTAACATACTGTATATTTTGCCTTATCTGTCTGTTGTTATTGTGTGTTTTTCTCACTCTCATGAATGGGTTTTTTATTTTTCACTACCATATCCTCACTGCCTAGAAAAAGGCCTAGCATATTGGATGAAGCTACCTAATAAATACTTATTAAATGAGTGAATGGAGTTTATCCTGGATATATTGTTTGATTAATTCTCACTTTAAAAATGTTTGACATGGTTCATTCTAACAGTTTTGCCCGGTAATTACATGCATTTTAAAAATTGTTTTGGCTCTTTATAATAAGCTACATTCTTTATATTATTTTTTTATTTAGAGAGAAAAGCCCAATATTGTGGTTATTCACTATTTATTCTTTTACTAGTAAACATAATTGTAATTATGGTAAACTGAGTCAGAGGAATTGCAAACTTTACTGGTATTTTATTTTATTTTGAGATGGAGTCTTGCTGTATCCCCCAGGCTGGAGTTCAGTGGTATGATCTCAGTTCACTGCAACCTCCGCCTTCTGGTTCATGCATTTCTCCTCCCTCAGCCGCCCAAGGAGCTGGGATTACGGGGGCATGCCACCACGCCTGGCTAATATTTGTATTTTTAATAGAGATGGGGTTTCACCCTGTTGGTCAGGCTGGTCTCAAACTCTGTACCTCAGGTGATCCACCCACTTCGGCCTTTCAAAGTGCTGGGATTACAGGCATGAGCCACTGCGCCTGGCCACTAGTATTTTATTTAAAAAAAAATTAGGGTGGCACATTTAATGGACTTACAAATTCTTTTCAAGGGATTATGAACCTTTGGTATTTGAAATAAAGATACAGAGTTGGAATTTTTTGCTTCCTATAGTAAGAGGAATACTGGTCAGGCACTGTCTATTCTGGTGGAGCAGGTGCTGCTGCGTGGCTGTATTTCAGAAGTAAGCTGCTCACATTGATATTGGTTGGTGAGCAAGAGCAGTGGTCATTGATTGATTGACTAGATTTCAAACTGGCTTTTGGGTGGCTTGTTGTTACCATTGGTACAAGTCATTTCTTTCCTAAGTTAGAGTCAACTTTAACCAAAAATTTTCTGTATAAAAGTTGCCTTCAATTAACTATGTTCAAAATGAAAGTATTTTATATTCCAGAATTGTAGACTTCATTTTAAAATTTTGGTCAAGATGAATTGGTTAATAATAGCTCTCAGGAAGATCTGTTTTCCTTTTTTAAAATACATATTTCTCTGTATAATTTATTCCTTAAAATTAATTATTTTCTTTCTGTTTTTGGTATTTTTAGAAGCTTTTGCTCAAGTCCTAACATAATCTCCAGTAGGAGATTTTAATCTCTTTGTCAGTTCATGTATGTATATGGTAGTGATACTCTCTTTTTAAATTCCTTTTCTCATTCACTTTCTTCTCAGTACAATAACAGTGATATTCTTATACATCTTTACCTCATTTAAAAGTAATTACAGTTTTCTGCTGGCAAATTCAGCTTTTTATATTTTGACTAAATACTAGGCTAAAATTGAAGAAAATTTACCAGGTCATTTTATTTTCAAACAAAATCATTACTAATAAAAATTGCTATTTTTGAAATATAAATAATGACATTTTGATATTTTAAAAGTAAGGATACACCCCCCCCCAATAGTTTCGCTTTGTGTTTCCACCCAAATCTCATGTCAAATTGTAATTCCCAGGTGTTGAGAGAAAGACCAGCTGGGAGGTATTGGATCATGGGGTCGGTTTCCTCCATGCTGTTCTCTTGATAGTGAGTTCTCACAAGAGCAGATAATTCTATAATGGGCTCTTTCCCTTTCACTTCTCTCTCTCCTGCCACCTTTTGAAGAAGTTGCCTGCTTCCCCTTTACCTTCTGCCATGATTGTAAGTTTCCTGAGGCCTTCCCAGCCATGTGTAACTGTGAATCAATTAAGCCTCTTTCCTTTATGAATTACCCAGTCTCAGGTATACATACATACATACATACATATATATATATATATATATATATATATATATATATATATATATATAATTTTCTTTATTCCACTCATCAGTTGATGGACACTGGCTGATAACATATCTTTGCATATGTGAATTGTGCTGCAGTAAACATATGTATATAGGTGTCTTTTTGAGAGTATGATTTCTTTTATTTTGGGTAGGTATCCAGAAATGAGAATGCTGGATAGAATGGTAAGATCTACTTTAACAGAACTCTCCATAATGTTTTCCATAGATTTGTACTAATTTGTATCCCCACCAGCAGTGTATAAATCTTCTTTTTTCACCACATCCACACCAACATCTGCTGTTTTTTTTATTTTAGTAGTGACCATTCTGGCTGAAGTGAGGTGATATCTCACTGTTGTTTTATTGTACATTTCCCTGATGATTAGTAATATTTAGCATGTTTTTATATTCTTGTTCACCATTTGTACATCTTCTTTTGAAAAATGTCTATTCATGTCATGTGCCCACTTTTTAATGGAATTGTTTGTATTTTTCCTGCTGATTTGTTTGAGCTTCTGGTAGGTTATGGACATTAATCCTTTGTTAGATTCATAATTTGCCCATATTTTCCCCATTGTATAGGTGGTTGGCTCACTTTGATGATTATTTCTTTTGCTGTGCTGAAGCTTTTTAGTTTAATTAGGTCTTTATTTATTTATTTATTTATTTATTTATTTATTTTTATTTTTGTTGCTTTTGCTTTCAGGGTCCTCATCATAAATTATTTGCCTAGGCTAATGTCTTCTGGTCTTAGGTTTAGGCCATTAATCCATCTTGAATTAATTTTTTACATGGTGAGAGATAGAGATCCAATTTTATTCTTCTATATGTGACTATCTTTTTTTCCCAGCACCATTTGTTGAATAATGTGTACTTTCTCCAGTGTATGTTTTTGTATCCTTTCTCAGAGATCATTTGGTTGTAAGTGGCCTTTTTTCTGAGTTGTCTATTCTGTTCCATTGATCTGTGTATCTACTTTTATACCAGTACCATGATGTTTGTTACTGTGGCCTTAGAGTTGAAGTCAGGTAATTTGATGCCAACATGTTTGTTCCTTTTTCTTGGTATGTCTGTTGCTATTCAGGCTCTTTTGTGGTTCTACATGAATGACAGCTTTTTAAAATAACTCTGTGAAGAATGACATTGGTACTTTGGTAGAAACTGTATTGACTCTGTAGACTACTTTGGGCACTATGGCATTTTCACAATATCAATGCTTTCAGTCCAGGAACATAGAATGTATGTTCATTTATTTGTATGATCTATGATTTTCTTCAGTGGCGTTTTCCAGTTATCCTTTGATAGATCACTCACCTCCTTCATTAAGTATATTCCTAGGTATTTTACTATTTTGCAGCCATTGTAAAAAGGATTGGATTCTTGATATGACTCTCAGCTTGGTTGTAGTTGGTGTATAGTGGTACTATTCATTGGTATTTGTATATTTTGTAACCTCTGAGACTTTACTAAATTCATTTATCAAATCTAGGAGTGTTTTGTAGGAGTCTGTAGGGTTTTCTAGGCATAAGATCATATCATTGGTGAAGAGAGAGTTTGACTTTCTCTTTTCCAATTTGGATGCCCTTTATTTCTCTTGCCCAATTGCTCTGCCTAGGGCTTCCCAGTTTTCTTCTTAATAAGCATGAAATAAAAGTGAAATTGAAAGCGATTAATGATCAGTTTATTTCACATCTCTCTCTCATACACAGATAAAATTAATTCAAAGTTCTATGTTAAAAACACAATATTAGACCCTGTCTTGTTCCAAAGGGAATTTCTAATTTGTCTATAAATTACAGAGGAATCAAGAATATAAGTGGAAACTGTTTCCAAAAAATAAACATAAAAAGTTTGAGTTAACACAGGGGTTTCCAATCCCCAGGCCACAGACCAGTACCAGTCCCTGGCCTGTTAGGACCTGGGCCACACAGCAAGAAGTTAGTGGTAGATGAGCAAGTGAAGCTTCATCTGTTTACAGCCACTCTCTGTCACATTACCACCTGAGCTCCTCCTCCTGTCAGATCAGCGGTGACATTAGATTCTCATAAGAGTGTGACTTGAACCCTATTGCAAGCTGCTCATGCATGGGATCTAGGTTGTTCACTCCTGATGAGAATCTAATGCTTTATGATCTGTCACCATCTCCTGTCACCCCTAGATGAGACCATCTAGTTGCAGGAAAATAAGCTGAGGGCTCCCACTGATTCTACATGATGGTGAGTTATATAATTATTTCATTATATATTAGTAATAATAGAAATGAAGTGCACAATGTATGTAATGTGCTTGAATCATCCTGGAACCATCCCCCACCTCAGGTCCATGGAAAAATTATCTTCCACAAAACTAGTCCCTGGTGCCAACATGACTGGGAGAGCAGGGTTAACAGATGTGAGGCCCCTTTGCCTTGTCTTGGATTAATGTGCAGATATACATTGTGTGAATGACATCTGATGGTGCCATCTTGTCCTGTAGATCATTTTAGGGACACCTCCAGTATTTCATGAAAATTAAAATTTCTTCTAGTGACGAACAAAATGATACCCAGAAACAACTTTCTGAAGAACAGAACACTGGAATATCACAAGATGAGATTCTGACTAATAAACAAAAGCAGATAGAAGTGGCTGAAAAGGAAATGAATTCTAAGGTATTTTCTTTAGTCATTATCAAATGTTTTCATATGTGTGTATATTTTTAAAAAGCTTTATTTTGGAAGGTATAAAGGATTTTTAAATCATATATATACACACGTGTGTGTGTGTCTGTGTGTGTGTATATATACACACACACACACACACCCCCTGTATATCCTTGGTCATATATCTATATATGTACACATAGGATAAAGCCATGTTCTTAATTCAACTGCATTTGCCTGCAACAGTCGAGTAGTGACCTTCACAATGGCCTCAATCCAAAGGAAAAGCATTTGATATTTTTCATAAGAATTGATTATCTTTCCAATATCAAAAATAAGTTTTGCTACTAACAACAGATTTGCTAGTTTTGGGACATTAGTTCTTTTTAAAATATTAATAGAGAAGTCAGTTTGTTATTTTCACTAATAGGAAAGTAGGAAATGTACAGCTGGGTCAGAGGCCACATTGTGGATGTCATTATCCTTGCTTTTGAGGAGAGGAACAGTTTGCTCCGAGTAGTTTCTCATTTCAATGCAAAGAGCTTTGAAAACAATGACATGCCATGATACACATTTAGTGATAATTTATTGATAAGTATTTTGTTCCCAGATGAATAGTTCAGTACGTTTCCCGTATTTCACACTTACTACTATAATGTTTCAAACATTATGAAGAGGAAAGAAAAGTTATTGCAATGGCAAATAATCTCATGATTTCTAAGAAAAGCCTTGTAAGTTATATCTTATTTATCATTTGTATTTTGAAATAAAAGGCTTCTTTTGTATTTATATATTTACACCACAGAAGCAACTGATTTTGTGGAGGATCACTAGCAGTAGCATCAGAAGACCTGGCAAAAATCTTGCACGTTGCATATATATATGTGTGTGTGTGTGTGTGTGTGTGTGTATTCTAGATGGAGTCTTGCACTGTCACCCACGCTGGAGTGCAATGGCACAAACTCAGTTCACTGCAACCTCTGCCTCCCAGGTTCACATGATTCTCCTGCCTCAGCCTCCTGAAGTGCTGGGATTACAGGTGTGAGCCACTGGTCCTGGCTGCATATATTTTTTGATCTCTCCTTTTAAGAATCGTGATCTTAAATGAGTTGAGTGTTGTATGTAGAAGTGCAATGCTTAGATGCCGGTGTGTACATTGTAGAAGGGTACAACGCTTAGATTTAACAGTTATGAATAAATGTAATTCTTATAACTGACTGTAAAAATATTAGAAAAGCAGTATATTGATAAAACATTCCTCAGAAAAAGGAACTTAAAGAACTTTGAGGAATTGCTTCTGTCCTAATATATGCATAGCTAAGGCTCTTATGATGGTGTGGTTTGTAGGTTAGATATCAGAGTGTAAACCCAATTTAAAAAATGTAGCCAAATGTATTAATCTTCTATTTTATGCCTCTGGGTTTTTTGTAATTCAGAGAAAGGCTTTCCCAATTCTGAAATTCTTAAAAATCCTCTAGTGATTTATTTTTCATGGTCTTTAGATAAATATTTCAACTTTTTGGAATTTACACTCTTTTAGATTTGAAGTTTTGTCCAACTTTTTTCCAGTTAAATATCCACTATGGGAATTATTTCATTATACAAATATAAATGTCATTCTTTGATTTTAGAAGAAATCATGATATGTCATTCTATTGAGTGCTAACTAAAAGTTCCCTTTGTTTACTTAGCTTTCTCTTAGTCATAAGAAAGAAGAAGATCTCTTGCGTGAAAACAGCATGTTGCGGGAAGAAATTGCCATGCTAAGACTGGAACTAGATGAAACAAAACATCAGAACCAGCTAAGGGAAAATAAAATTTTGGAGGAAATTGAAAGTGTAAAAGAAAAACTTCTAAAGGCTATACAACTGAATGAAGAAGCATTAACGAAAACCAGTATTTAAGTACAGTGGACAGCTTAGGATTTTGACAACTGAGAATGCTCAGTTCTGAACTGGAGAATGTAAGACACAGCTAGGAAACACTGGAAATGGAAATTCAATCATGTCATTGTAGACTGACTACTGCTCTACATGATTGTGATCAAAGTCAGATAGCTGAAAGGGACTTCTTTCCAGAGAACAAACATCAACAGGTTTATTTACAGGAGAAAATGAATTCTTATATATCTCACCTAAAAGATAACAGTGAGATTCTTTCTGAACAACTCTAACGCTGACAGTAAAATTAACAACCTAAAAATTAAGCTCCATCACACAGGATAAATTCTGAGAGAAAAGATGAGGCAGGCCACCATCTTTCCTGTTTGGGCAACTTAGTCATTCCAGCGTGCGGGCTTTGGAGAGTACAAACTCACCAGGGACAGAAGAGATCCTGTGGCATAGCACAGCTGCTTTACCAAATCATGGCCAGAATGCTTCTGTAAGCAGGCCCCTGATCCTGTTCCTCGTCACTGGACAGGATCTCCCACCTGAGGCCTCCAGCTACACCCACCAGTGTTCCCTGGCCAATGGAGATTTGAAACCTTCCTGGGACAGAGTTCCCAGAGAGAGGGGTGGGCCATGATGGGCAGGTCTTCCTGGCCTGGGTCTCCAGCCAGCCCCCCACTTGAGCCTTCAAGCCAGTAGCAACTCAGCAACTCCCTGGACAGAGCTTCCAGGAGCAACAGAAATCCTCTCTGCCACTGCCTCTGCAGTGGAACTGCCCTTGCTACCCTCAGAATGTCAAGGGAGCAAAGACCCTAAGTGCCATATTGACACCTCCAACAAGCTGCAGTTGACACAAGGAACAAGTCAGTCCATCTTCCACGGGTACAACACACCCCTTACTGCTCATCAACAGACAAGGAACCCTGGCTTGGGCCCACAGCACAGACCCTCCATCCTGGGGTGATTACATTAAGTAACTCCTAACTTACACCTCTCTGGGGTGTAGCCCCCAGGAGACAAGGAAAGTGGTGGAGCAGCAAGTCAGCTGATGTGGAGCCTGGAGGGCAGGGACATCTATGTCTCTAGGCTCCACTTGCTCTTATGAGACACTTTATCCCAGCACTTAAGGAGTGCTGAGGTCAGACCAGCCCCATCTCACGTGCAAGATTGCCCAGCACAGATCAGGTCTAAGAGTTCTCTTCCTAAAAAGGGGGACTTGCTTAAAAAAGAAGTCTGGCCGCGTTTGTGTAGAGCAGTTGTGCTGTGCTGAGGATTCACTTTTGAGAGAGTTCTCCTCTGAGACCTGATCTCTGCTGGGCAGTCTTGCACATGAGATGGGGCTGGTCTGACCTCAGCACCCCTTAGTCTGCTTGCCTCTCCCAGGACCCCAGCCAGGCCACACCTGCTTAGAGGGCACTTTTGGGTGCCCACACCATAGCTTCTGTACAAGCAGACCGTGGCTGATCAGTGGAGAGCTGCAGCAAGGTGACCTCTACAGCCACGTACCAGCCTGCACATTACCTCTCCATACTGCAGCCCTTTATATGGAAACTTCCTACATCACTTAGCTGTGTGTGTTTACACAGGTGGGTTTTGTTGTACTTGCCCTAACAGCATATGGGAATGCAGCACACACCCCAACCCACACCAACTGCCACTGAAGATGAAGCCATGGTGGGCACAGAACCAAAAACCCCACCCCTGCTAGCATCTCACCCTTGAGGTAATGCTGTGCAGAGGAAAAGGGACCTTCTTATACCCTGAGTGACCACTGTTGCTTGGGGGGGATCAGAGAAGGCACCTTCACTGGCCAGCCACCCACCCCAAACCAGAACTACCTCCAGTGCAACAGCACACACAGTCAGCAGGGGCCCCCTGGCCCACACCCCAGCTGTTTTGCCTCCACCACTAGGTGAATGCCCACAGGGAGGCAGGGACTTTTGCATCTGCTAGCATTCTGCCACAGCTGCCACACTTTGGTCCCCTCAGTGCGGTGGACTCCAAACCTCGATGAGCCAGAGAACAAAGTTGTGGCCCAATACAAGTTCCCCAGAGTTAAAGCACACAGTCCAAGAATTGGGAGCTGCATGTTGGCCCCTTAAAATCCTCCAAAGACAAAACCTGTTGGCTGAATCCACCTTACACCACAATCAAATCCTCAAGGTCATCAGATATAATAAAGGAAAAATACCCTGTCCAAAGGTCAGCAGCCTCAAAGATTGAAGGTGGATAAGCCCATAAAGATGAGAAAAAGACTCTGTGCAAGAACACTGAAAACTCAAAAATTCAGCATGCTTTCTTTTCTCCAAATGACTGCATCAACTCTCCAGCAAGTGTTCAGAACTGGGCTGAGGCTGAGATGTCTGAAATGATACAAGCAGAGTTCAGGATATGGGTAGGAACAAAGTTCCCTGAGTGAAAGAAGTATGTTGTAATCCAATACAAGGAAGCTAAAAATCATTGTAAAACATTGCAGGAACTAACAGACAAAATAGCAAGTATAAAGAAGAAAATAACTGACCTGACAGAGCTGTAAATCACACTAGAAGAATTTTCATAATGCAGTCACACGGTGATTGTGTGTGATTGCATTATGAAAATTATTGTAGTATGTGTGGGCACCTGAGAGTGCCCTGTAAGCAGATGTGGCCAGGCTGGGGTCCTGGGAGAGGCAAGCAGACTAGGGAGGGCTGAGGTCAGACCAGCTCCATCTCATGTGCAAGACCATCCAACAGAATAGACCAAGAAGAGGAAAGAATCCCAGAATCTGGAAACTGGCTTTCTGAAATAAAACAGGCAAACAAGAATGGGGGAAAAAAGAATGAAAGGGAATGAACAAAACATCCGAGAAATATGGGATTATATAAACGACTAAATCTATGACTGATTAATGTACCTGAAAGAGATGAGGAGAATGGAACCAACTTGGAAAACACATTTCAGAATATCATTCATGAGAATGTCCCCAACCTAGCCAGACAGGCCAACACTCAACTTCAGGAAATCCAGAGAACCTCAGTAAGATATGCCATGAGAAGATCATCCCCAAGACACATAATCATCAGATTCTCTGCGGTCAAAATGAAAGAAAAAGTGTTAAAGGCAGCTAGGGAGAAAGGCAACATCACCTGCAAAGGGAATTCCATCAGACTTAGCAGACCTCTCAACTGAAACTGTACAAGCCAGAAAAGATATTCAACATCTTAAAGAAAAGAAATTTCAACCCGGAATTTCATGTCCAGCAAAATTAAGCATCATAAGTGAAGGAGAAACAAGATCCTTTTCAGGCAAGCAAATGCTGAGGGAATTCATTATCACCAGACCTACCTTACAAGAGCTCCTGAAGGAAGCACTAAATATGGAAAGAAAAGACCACCACCAGCCACTACAAAAACACACTGAAGTACACAGACAAGTGATGCTAAAAACCAACCACATACATAAGTCTGCAAAAAAGCCAGCTGACAGCATGACGAGAGGATCAAATCCACACATACCATTACTAACCTTAAATGGAAATGGGCTAAATGCTCCAATTGAAAGACACAGGGGGCAAGCTGGATAAAGAACCAAGACCCATTGGAGTATGCCGTCTTCAAGAAACCCATCTCACATGCAGTGCCCTACATAGGCTCAAAATAAAGGAATGGAGAAAAATATTTCAAGGAAATGGAAAATAGAAAAAAGCAGGTGTTGCACTCCTAGTTTCTGACAAAGCAGACTATACCAATAAAGATTAAAAAAAAAAAAAAAAAGACAGAGGGCTGGGCGCGGTGGTTCACGCCTGTAATCCCAGCACTTTCGGAGGCTGAGACAGATGGATCACAAGGTCAGGAGATCGAGACCATCCTGGCTAACACGGTGAAACCCCGTCTCTACGAAAAATACAAAAAATTAGCTGGGCATGGTGGCGGGTGCCTGTAGTCCCAGCTACTTGGGAGGCTGAGGCAGGAGAATGGTGTGAACCTGGGAAGTGGAGCTTGCAGTGAGCCAAGATCGTGCCACTGCACTGCAGCCCAGGCAAGACAGTGAGACTCCGTCTCAAAAAAAAAAAAAAAAAAAAAAAAAAAAAAAAAAAAAAAAAAAAAAAAGAGAGAGAAGGAGATTACAAAGGTGGTCCTGACCTTTGATAAATCTCATTATTGCTTGATACCAACCTGGGCTATCTTTATTGCCCAAACCAATAGGATAATGTGCTGAGGTTAGGGAGCTTCTCCCCTGCAGAGAATCCCTGATCTCCCAAAATTTGGTTGAGATCTAAGGTTGATTTTGCTATACAACTCCTTTTCTGAAGTTTTACTTATTTCCAACAAGGCAAGTTTTCCTGCTTCCGTGATGATGGAGAGCAGGCACCTCCTTTCTTGAGTTTCAGCTTGCTTCTGACAGGGAAGGTGAGTGTAAGTTTTTTCCAGCTTCTAAGATGGCAGAGAACAATCACCAGCCTGAGACTTATTTCCAGGTAAGTAGCTGAATTAGAGTTTTGTCTTAAAATTTTTCCTTAATGACTAAAATTTAAGATTACTCACCAGCTGCTTTTAATTTCTCGTTACCATTAGAACACTCAGTAATCATATGAATTGTGCATTTGTTTGTTTTGCTTAACTCTTTTTGTTTGTTTATGTTTGGGGTTTTGTTGTTGTTGTTTCACTTTTCTCCCATCTCTTCCTGACTTGGTGAAATCCAAAGAATGCTCCAAATTGTGGGGAACAAGGCTTCTGAATTGGCTAAAACTCATGTGGCTGCAAAAAAAAAAAAAAATTCCAGTTAGCAGAAATGATTTTTTTAACTTTTTTATTTTTATTTTTTACATAAGTGGTTGCATCTTTTGCTAGCCAAGGCCAAACTGAGGGAGTAGTGGTGGCGACCCAAAGTTAAGATTCTGCCCTGTTCACTACAGAAACCTGAGTTTGGTTCCTAAGTCTAGTTCTTTCTGTTTGATATTTGTGTTACTTTTAAAATATCAGCAGTTTGTCCCAGCTATGATGTGGTAGTAAAAGATTCAGAAGTATTTTCTTTACAAGTTCTATGTTGAAAAGCTTAATTAAAAGCAAATTTCTTTTTTTTTAAATTATACTTTAAGTTCTGGGGTACATGTGCAGAACATGCAGGTTTGTTACATACGTATACACATGCCATGGTGGCTTGCTGCATGCACCAACCCATGATCTAATGCCATCCCTTTTCTAGCCCCCCACCCTGACAGGCCCTTGTGTGTGATGTTTCCCTTCCTGTGTCCATGTGTTCTCATTGTTCAGGTCCTACTTATGAGTGAGATCATGTGGTGTTTGGTTTTCTGTTCTTGTGTTAGTTTGCTGAGAATGACAGTTTCCAGCTTCATCCATGTCCCTGCAAAGGATATGAACTCATCCTTTTTTATGACTGCATAGTATTCCATGGTGTATATATGCCACATTTTCTTTATCCAGTCTATCATTGGTGGGCATTTGGGTTGGTTCCAAGTCTTTCCTGTTGTGAACACTGCCGCAATAAGCATACGTGTGCATGTGTCTTTATATTGGAATGATTTATATTTTTTTGAGTATATACACTGTAATGGGATTGCTGGGTCAAATGGTATTTCTAGTTGTAGATCCTTGAGGAATCATCACACTGTCTTCCACGATGGTTGAACTGATTTATACTCCCACCAACAGTGTAAAAGCATTCCTATTTCTCCACATCCTCTCCAGCTTCTGTTGTTTCCTGATTTTTTAATGATGGCCATTCCAAGTGGCGTAAGATTGTATCTCATTATGGTTTTGAATTCCATTTCTCTAATGACCAGTGCTTTGCTTCACATGTTCATTGGCTGCATAAATGTCTCCTTTGGGAAGTGTCTGTTCATATCCTTTGCCCACTTTTTGATGGGGTTGTTTGTTTTTTTCTTGTAAATTTGTTTAAGTTTTTATAGATTCTGCATATTAGCCCTTTGTCAGATGGATAGATTGCAACAATTTTCTCCCTTTCTGAGGGTTGCCTGTTCACTCTGATGATAGTTTCTTTTGCTGTGCAGACACTCTTTAGTTTAATTAGATCCCATTTGTCAATTTTGGCTTTTGTTGCCATCGCTTTTGGTGTTCTAGTGATGAAGTCTTCGCCTATGCCTATGTCCTGAATGGTATTGCCTAACACAAGGACATTTCTGTGCCTGAATGCCATATCTCCCAAAGTAATTTATAGAATCAGTGCTATCTCCATGAAGCTACCATTGACTTTCTTCCCACAATTAGAAACACTACTTTAAATTTCATATGGAGCCAAAAAAGAGCTCGCGTAGCCAAGACAATCTAAGCAAAAACAACAAAGCTGGAGGCATCACGGTACCTGACTTCAAACTATTCTACAAGGCTACAGTAACCAAAACAGCATGGTACTGGTACCAAACCAGATATATAGACAAATGGAACAGAACAGAGGCCTCAGAAATGACACAACACATCTAAAACCATCTGATCTTTGACAAACCTGACAAAAACAAGCAATGGGGAAAGGATTCCTTATTCAATAAATGGTGTTAGGAAAACTGGCTAGCCATATGCAGAATACTGAAACTGGGCCACTTCCTTACACTTTATACAAAAATTAACTTACGATGGATTGAAGAGTTAAACTTAAGACCTAAAACCATAAAAAACCTAGAAGAAAACCTAGGCCACCAAACTCAGGAGAAATGTACTTGTAGTGCAATGCATGGTACAAACACACATTCCCTGCTTCCTTAAGTGGGTGAGGTTGGTGGCTGGTCCACCTGCTCCAGGTGGATCCTTGCAGAGGTGGCTGGTTGCTCTTTGAGCCAGCTTGGCCTTGCCTGGCATTCACAAGCCTCAGTGCAACAACTGTGCTACAAATGGAGCCACACAGAAAATGACCAGCAGGCTCAGGAGCAGGGTGTACACTGCCTTTGGGGCTCCAGTCCATGCCTCAGGGCTCATATGGCACCGTGGGCTTCTTGGTTGCCAAGAGGCAGATCACAGGCCATCTTGTGGAGGACTTTATGTTCAAGTGCAGAAAGCAGCCAGGATTACAACCTAGGGGACTCAGCCTTTTGTGACCCTGGCCAGACTTAGAATTTGGCCCCAGGCATGGCACGCTCACTCAGAGTAGCGTGTCAGTACCTGGGGCCTGTGCATGCCAGGCAAAGCCAAGCTGGCTCAAAGAGCAACCAGCCACCTCTGCAAGGGTGTGCCTAGAGCAGTTGGACCAGCCACCAATCTCACCCCCTCAACAAAGCCGGGATGGCCAGGTTCCCACAGCCTGAGTGGCTGCCACCTGATGGCTGAAGGAGCAGAGGCCTGAGGAAAAGCAGATGGCACTGGGGCCCTACCTTTAGGATAGAAGAACTGAGGTACCATGTCTGGCAGCGAGTGATGTTGGTGGCTGGTCCACCTGCTCCTGGCACACCCTTGCAGAGGTGGCTGGTTGCTCTTTGAGCCAGCTTGGCCTTGCCCAGCATGCACAAGTCTCAGTGCAACAACTGTTCTACAAATGGAACCACACAGAGGACATTAGAGGCAGGCTCAGGAGCAGGGTGTACACTGCCTTTGGTGCTCCAGTCCATGGCTCAGGGCTCATATGTCACTGCGGGCTTCTTGGTTGCCAAGAGGCAGACCACAGGCTGTCTTGAGGAGGACTTTATGTTCGAGTATAGAAAGCAGCAGGATTACCACCCAGGGGACTTGGCGTTCTGTGGCCCTGACCAGACTTAGAATTTGGGCCAAGGCAGGACAAGCTCACTCACAGCAGCATGTCAGTAGCTGGAGACTATGCATGCCAGGCAAGGCCAGGCTGACTCAAATAGGAACCAGTCACCTCTGCAAGGGTGCACCTGGGACATGTGGAGCAGCCACCAACCTCAGCTACTCAAGGAAGTAGGGATGGCCAAGTTCCCACAGCCTGAATGGCTGCCTCCTGATGGCTGATGGAGCAAAGGCCTGAGGAAAAGCGGATGGCACTGGGGCCCTACCTCTAGGGTAGAAGAACTGATGTGCCCTGACCTGCAACAAGTGAGTTTGGTGGCTGCTCCACCGGCTCCTGGCACACGCTTGCAGAGGTGGCTGGTTGCTCTTTGAGCCAGCTTGGCCTTGCCTGGCATACACAAGCCTCAGTGCAACATCTGTGCTAGGTATGGAGTCACAGAGAGGAAATGAGCAGCAGGCTCAGGAGCAGGGTGTGCGCTGCCTTTGGGGCTCCAGTCCATGCCTCAGGGCTCGTGTGGCACTGCGGGCTTCTTCGTTGCAAAGAGGCAGACCACAGGCCATCCTGAGGAGGACTTGATATTCAAGTGCAGAAAGTAGGCAGGATTACCACCCAGGGGACTCTGCCCTGGACAGAGATAAAATTTGGGCCAAAGCAGAACAAGCTCACTCAGAGCAGCATGTCGGTAGCTGGGACCTGTGTATGCCAGGCAAGGCCAAGCTGGCTCAAAGAGCAACCAGCCACCTCTGCAAGGGTGCACCTGGAGCAGGTGGAGCAGCCACCAACCTCACCCACTCAAGGAAGTAGGGATGGCCAGGTTCCCACAGCCTGCATGGCTGCATCCTGATGGCTGATGGAGCAGAGGCCTGAGGAAAAGCAGATGGCATTGGGGCTCTACCTCTTGGGTAGAAGAAGTGATGTACACCGACCAGCTGTGAGTGAGGTTGGTGGCTGGTCCACCTGCTCCTGGCACACCCTTGCAGAGGTGGCTGGTTTCTCTTTGCGCCAGCTTGGCCTTGCCCAGCATGCACAAGCCTCAGTACAACAGCTGTGCTACAAATGGAACCACACAGAGAAAACAGAGCAGCAGGCTCAGGAGCAGGGTGTGTGCTGCATTTGGGGCTCCAGTCAATGCCTCCGGGCTAGTATGGCTCTGTGGGCTTCTTGGTTGCAAAGAGGCAGACCACAGGCCATCTTGAGGAGGACTTTATGTTCAAGTGCAGAAAGCAGCCAGGATTACCACCCAGGGGACTCTGCCTTCTGTGGCCCTGACCGGACTTAGAATTTGGCCTAACTCAGGACAAGCACACTCAGAGCAGCGTGTCAGTAGCTGGAGCCTGTGCATGAAAGGCATGGCCAAGCTGTCTCAAAGAGCAACCAGCCACCTCTGCAAGGGTGCTCCAGGAGCAGGTGGAGCAGCCACCAACATCACCCACTCAAGGAAGCAGGGATGGCCAGATTCCAACAACCTGAGTGGCTGCCTCCTGATGGCTGATGGAGCAGAGGCCTGAGGAAAAGCAGATGGCACTGGGACCCTACATCTAGGGTAGAAGAAGTGATGTACCCTGACCGGCAGTGAGTGAGGTTGGTGGCTGGTCCATCTGCTCCTGGCACACCCTTGCAGAGGTGGCTGGTTACTCTTCGAGCCAGCTTGGCCTTGCCTGGCATGCACAAGCCTCAGTGCGACAACTGTGCTACATATGGAGCCACATAGAGGAAACGAGCAGCAGGCTCAGGAGCAGGGTGTGCGCTGCCTTTGGGGCTCCAGTCCATGCCTCAGGGCTCGTGTGGCACTGTGGGCTTCTTCGTTGCCAAGATGCAGACCACAGGCCATCTTGAGGAGGACTTTATGTTCAAATGCAGAAAGCAGCCAGTATTACCACCCAGGGGCTCTGCCTTCTGTGGCCCTGACCAGACTTAGAATTTGGCCCCAGGCAGGGCAAGCTCACTCGGAGCAGTGTATCAGTAGCTGGGGCCTGTGCATGCCAGGCAAGGCCAAGGTGGCTCGAAGAGCAACCAGCCACCTCTGCAAGGGTGTACCTGGAGCAGGTGGAGCAGCCACCAACCTCACCCACTCAAGGAAGTAGGGATGGCCAGGTTCCCACAGCCTGCATGTCTGCGTCCTGATGGCTGATGGAGCAGAGGCCTGAGGTAAAGCAGATGGCACTGGGGCTCTACCTCTTGGGTAGAAGAAGTGATGTACACCGACCGGCTGTGAGCGAGGTTGGTGGCTGGTCCTCCTGCTCCTGGCACACCCTTGCAGAGGTGGCTGGTTTCTCTTTGCGCCAGCTTGGCCTTGCCCAGCATGCACAAGCCTCAGTACAACAACTGTGCTACAAATGGGGCCACACAGAGAAAACAGAGCAGCAGGCTCAGGAGCAGGGTGTGTGCTGCATTTGGGGCTCCAGTCAATGCCTCCGGGCTAGTATGGCTCTGTGGGCTTCTTGGTTGCAAAGAGGCAGACCACAGGCCATCTTGAGGAGGACTTTATGTTCAAGTGCAGAAAGCAGCCAGGATTACCACCCAGGGGACTCTGCCTTCTGTGGCCCTGACCGGACTTAGAACTTTGCCTAATGCAGGACAAGCTCACTCAGAGCAGCGTATCGGTAGCTGGAGCCTGTGCACGCCAGGCAAGGCCAAACTGTCTCAAAGAGCAACCAGCCACCTCTGCAAGGGTGTGCCTGGAGCAGATGTAGCAGCCATCAAACTGACCCACACAAGGAAGCATGGATGGCCAGGTTCCAACAGTCTGAGTGGCTGCCACCTGGAGACTGATGGAGCAGAGGCCTGAGGAAAAGCAGATGGCACTGGGGCCCGACCTCTATGGGAGAAGAACTGATGTGCCCCAACCGGCAGCGAGTGAGTTTAGTGTCTGCTCCACCGGCTCCTGGCACACCCTTGCAGAGGTGGCTGGTTCCTCTTTGAGCCAGCTTGGCTTCGCTCGGCATGCACAAGCCTCAGTGCAACAACTGTGCTACAAATGGAGCCACAGAGAGGAAATGAGCAGCAGGATCAGGAGCACGGTGTGCACTGCCTTTGGGGCTCCAGTCCATGCCTCAGGGCTCATATGGCACTGCGGGCTTCTTCATTGCCAAGGGGCAGACCACAGGTCGTCTGGAGGAGGACTTTGTGTTCAAATGCAGAAAGCAGCCAGCATTACCACCCAGGGGACTCTGCCTTCTGTGGACCTGACCAGACTTAGAATTTGGGCCAAGGCAGGACAAGCTCACTCAGAGGAGCATGTCAGTAGCTGGGGCCTCTGCATGCCAGGCAAGGCCAAGCTGGCTCAAAGAGCAACCAGCCACCTTTGCAGGGGTGCACCGGGAGCAGGTAGAGCAGCCACCAACCTCTGCTACTCAAGGAAGCAAGCATAGGCAGGTTCCCACAGCCTGTGTGGCTGCCACCTGATGGCTGATGGAGCAGAGGCCTCAGAAAAAGCAGATGGCACTGGGGCCCTACCTCTAGGGTAGAAGAACTGATGTGCCATGTCTGGCAGGCAGCGAGTGAGGTTGGTGGCTGGTCTACCTGCTCCTGGCACACCCTTGCAGAAGTGGCTGGTTCCTCTTTGAGCCAGCTTGTCCTTGCCCAGCATGCACAAGCCTCAGTACAACAACTGTGCTACAAATGGAGCCACACAGAGGAAATGAGCAGCAGGCTCAGGAGCAGGGTGTTCACTGCCTTTGGGGCTCTAGTCCATGCCTCCGAGCTTATATGGCACTGCAGGCTTCTTGGTTGCCAAGAGGCAGACCACAGGCCGTCTTGAGGAGGACTTTATGTTCAAGTGCAGAAAAAAGTCAGGATTACCACCCAGGGGACTTGCCCTTCTGTGGCCCTGGCCAGACTTAGAATTTGGCCCCAGGCAGGACAAGCTCACTCAGAGCAGCGTGTCAGTAGCTGGGGCCTGTGCATGACAGGCAAGGCCAAGCTGGCTCAAAGAGCAAGCAGCCACCTCTGCAAGCATGCTCCTGGTGCAGTTGGACCAGCCTTTAATCTCACCCACTCAAAGAAGCATGGATGGCCAGGTTCCAACAGCCTGAATGGCTGCCACCTGATGGCTGATGGAGCAGAGTCCTGAGGAAAAGCAGATGGCACTGCTTTGTAATGCCCTTTGTCTCTTTTGATCTTTTCCATTTAAAGTCTGTTTTATCGGAGACTAGGATTGCAAGCCCTGCTTTTTTTTTTTTTTTTTTTTTTTTTTTTTTTTTTTTGCTTTTCATTTGCTTGGTAAATATTCCTCCGTCCCTTTATTTTGAGCCTGTGTGTGTCTTTGCATGTGAGATGAGTCTCCTGAATACAGCACACCAATGGGTCTTGAGTCTTTTTCCAACTTGCCAGTCTGTGTCTTTTTACTGGGGCATTTAGCCCAGTTACATTTAAGGTTAATATTGTTACATGTGAAATTTATCCTGTCATGATGTTGTTAGCTGTTTATTTTTTCCCATTAGTTAATGCAGTTTCTTTATAGTGTCGATGGTCGTTACAATTTGGTATGTTTTCCCAGTGGCTCATACTGTTTGTCCCTTTCCATGTTTAGTGCTTCCTTCAGGAGCTCTTGTAAGGCAAGAATGTGGATTTATTTCTTGTAAGGCAAATATGTGGATTTATATCTGGGTGCTGTATTCTATGGCCTCTACCCCAAGAGTCATTACTTTTAAAAATGCAATTCAAATTAGCATAAAACATTTACAGCCTAGGGAAAGGCTTATGGCATTAGAATCCTTATTTATAGGATTATTTTGTGTTTTTTTGAGATATGGTCTCTGTCTGTCATCCAGGCAGAAGTGGAGTGGCTTGGTCATAATTCACTGCAGCCATGAACTCTGAGTCCAAGCCATCCTTGTGCCTTAGTCTCCCAACTAGTTGGATCTACAAGCATAAATCACCATGCCTGGTTAATTTTAAATAAAATTTTTTGTCGAGATTATGTTATCACTATGTTGCTCTGGCTGGTTTCAAATTCCTGGCCTCAAGTAATCTTTCTGCCACAGCCTCCTATAGTGCTGGGATTACAGGCATGAGCCACCATGCCTAGCATAGAGTATTACATTATTTTCAAAGTCTTATTCTAAGAGCCATTTATTGACTTTGGCCTAAATAACTCAATATTATATCTCTGAAACTTTTTTTGACAAATTTTGGGGCACGATGATGAGAGAAAGGGGTTTGAAACTTTCTAATAAGAGTTAACATAGAGCCATTTAAGGAGGAAAAAACACAAATTATCAGAAAAGTAAAAGAAAGATCAAGTGCAAAAGTTCTGTGGCAAAGATGATAGTAAAGAATATATGTGACTTATGGTGGCTTTTACTTTGTTCTTGAATTTCTGAGTAATTTAAGGGTTAACATTTAAAGAATCTACATTATAGATAACATTTTATTGCAAGTAAATGTATTTCAAAATTTGTTACTGGTTTTGTATGAGATTATTCTCAGCCTACTTCATTTTCAAGTTATATTATTTTATTAATGTAGTTTGGTGATCTTACAGCAGAGCTGGAAGCTGTATCTTCAAAATATGTCTGTTTGACTCAAAACAATCAAGGTATTCAACAGGAGTTATTATGTATGAAAAAATACAACAGGAATGTAAAAATCTTGAGGAGGCTAAAAAGATGTTGGAAAAAGTAATATTAAATCTTAAAAAACGTATGGAAAGTACACATTGGTGAAGACACATTGGTGAAGTACAAAAATATAAATTGGATCTAGAAGAAAGGGCAATGCAGGCAATGGAAAAATTAGTACAAATCCCTTTACAGGTTAGTTTGTAAAATCAGGTAAGTTTATTTATAATGTGCTTTCACTTATTTCACTGCAATGGCTCTCTTATAGTAATTTGCCTTGTAGAGTTCTAGCAAAGAGGTGGCATCTGTTTTTACTTTTATATGTTTAAATTTCTATCATTATAACAAAATCGATTTTTCACAGTAATGATTCTCAGTGTGGAGTCATTTGATTATTAAGACCCATTGACATGAGATTACATCCTCTGCCTATAAAAATCCTGGAAGAAAACCTAGGAAATATTCACCTGGACATTGCACTTGGCAATGAATTTATGGGTAAGTCCTCAAAAGCAATTGCCAGAAAAATAAAAATTGACAAGTATGATTTAATTAAACTAAAGAGCTTCTTCTGCACAGCATGAGAAACTCTCAAGGGATTGAACAGACAGCCTACCGAATGGAAGAAAATATTCACACACTATGCATACAGCAAAGGCCTATTATCCAGAAGCCATAAGAGACTTAGGCAAATCAACGAGCAAAAAATAAATAACCCCATTAAAAAATGGGCAAAGAACGTGAACAGTTTTCAGAAGAACACATATGTGGCCAACAAACATATTAACACATGCATACCATCACTAATCATCAGAGAAATGCAAAACAAAACATCAGTGAAATACCATCTCACACCAGTTAGAATGACTTCTGTTAAAAAGGAAAAGTAATAAAAATATTTAAATATTTAATATTAAAATGTCATTTAGATTGAGATAAATTAACTTGTCTTTATCATTAATTCTCAAAACATGGATATTTAAGAATAACCTTACTTCACATGTAATAACACAACAACTACCTTAAAAACTAAAAGCTGGGGCCTGGCACGGTGTCTCAAGTCTGTAATCCCAGCACTTTGGGAAGCTGAGGTGGGCCGATCATGAGGCCAGGAGTTTGAGACAAGCCTGGCCAACATGGTGAAACCCCGTCTCTACTAAAAATACAAAAATTAGCTGGGCATGGTGGTGGGCACCTGTAATCCCAGCTACTCAGGAGGCTGAGGCAGGAGAACCATTGGAACCTGGGAGGCGGAGGTGGTTGCAGTGAGCTGAGATCACACCATTGCACTGCAGCCTGGGCAACAGGGCGAGACTCCATCTCAAAAAAAATAAATAAAATTAAATGAATACAAACAAATAAATAAAAGCTGGAAGTTCTATGAAAACATTAATGCACATACCATTTTTTAAAAATGTTCATGGTTTCTCTAGAGATTTCAATACCTATTCTAGCTTATTACAGTAACCTATAATTTGTACTATACCAACTATGGTATAAAAACCTTAAAATGTATATTTCTGTTTCCTCTCTCCTTTATACTATTTATGTCATGCATTATAGTCTCAAATATTATGAATTCCATAATATAAAGTTACTCTTTTTTTAAAAAATTAGACAATCAATTATCTTTAGAGCAATGTAAAATAATTGGGTTATATATCTTTATATCTTCTCTGGCATTATTTATTTCTTTGTGTAGTTTCAACTTTCACCTGCTTCCATATTCCTTTTGCCTCAAGAAATGATTTTGACATTTATTTTAGTGCATGCCTGTTAGCAAGGGACTCTTCCAGTGTTAATCTGCAAATGTCATTTAATTGTTATTTTTGCTGTATTACAGTTAATGGATATAAGATTGGGGGTTGACTTTTCTTCAGTTATTTAAGAATTTTGTATCATTGGTTTCTGACTTGTAGAGTTACTGACAAGCAGTTCATTACAATGTTTGTTTCTGTTTATCTCTCTACACAGTGTTCTTATTTTTTCTGTGACTGAATTCAAGATTTATGCTAATCGTTGGTTTTCAGCAGTTTCACTAGTGTGATTATTCTAGCGTTCTTTAAATTTTGTATTAATCTTTCTTGTATATTTTGAGGTTATTTGGTCTCCTCAGTCATCTTTTTCAAATTTTTCTTCTCTCACATTCTGTTTTTACTCTCCTTCTGTAATTCCAATTAATTGTATTTTGGTTAATTTCATATTACCAGAAAATTCTTTGATTCACTGGAGTATTTTATTTGCTTGGTTCATTGGTTTATTTGGTTTTTCTCTTTCCTCCCTTTGTGCTACCATTCAAATGATTTGTATTGACCTAGTATAAAATTTACTGCTTCTTTCTTTAACTCTGATGACCAGTCTGCTAATCAGCTTGCTGATGTAATACTTCATCTCTGTTCTCATGCTTTCACTTATTTCTAGATTTTGCCTTTTACTGTTCCCATCTTTGCTGAAATTCCTCATTTTTCCATACATGTTGTCTTTTTTTAACTAGATCCTTTCACATTTTGATCATTATTATTTTAAATTACTTTCATTTAGTTCCAACATCTGAATTATCTCTGAATTTGATTCTGTTGACTTTTTATCCTTTGAAAATATTATAACTCATAACTCAAATTTCTAACTTGCTTTTATGTGTCTCCCAATTTCTAAAAAATGCAAATCATCTGATGTAGAAAAACAGTAGATCATGAGATAATTATTTATGTCGAGATTGTTTTATATTTCTGTTTCATTTTTGTTTGTGTCATGCGATTAGTGTGGGCAGGAACAAAGGTTGCTTTTTGCTGCGGTGTCTGAAACATTCAGTGAACAATGTAACTCAGATTTCTCCAGCAGTAGACTGCTATATGATGTGCCTTGTGTGGGGCCTTAGACTCTGGAGAGCATATGCCAATGATCCTGTTCCACAGTTAGCTTTCGGTAGTCCTTACAACCTATGTTATAGAGAGGGTCTCTCTCCACTTTCTTGTTCTTCTCTAACTGTAGAACATCATTTTGTGTGTGTGTGTGTGACTAGGCAAAAAATTCAGGTTGGGGACAGAGGGATGGTTTGTGTTGTTTTTGAGCCAGTTTCATCATTGGACACTCAGAGATGGGGTATTTTTAACACTTCTTGACTCTTTTTCTAGTGGGAGTCAAACTGTCACTTACCTGTGTTGTTTTTTGCAGAAGAAATAATACCTTACCCTCCTCCCACCTCAGTAGTAGAAAACCCCTGATTTATATCATTGCAAGTTTTCAACCCCACAATAAGGGCAAACTCTTTTATTTCTCCTTCCATAGGAACAATGTACCTTTGTCTGTGGTCACTGGATGGAGACTTTCCAAACCTTTACCACAGTAACACGACTCTGCATTAGTGCAAAATCCTGGGCCCCAAAACAATCCTTGTTCCTCTCCTGATGGAGGAGTATTTTTCTTGCATCCCTCTCCCAGAAGCAGTGATCCTTTGCCTGGTGTCAGGTGGGGTAGGGTAGGGTATGAGAGGTTTCTTAACCTTCTCTGGAAGCTGATGTGTTTTGCTTCTTCTTATCTCCCAGAAACAGTAGACTTTTGCATGGGTTCATGGACCCAGATGCTTTTTTGCCACAGCAAATTAAGGGTTTTGATTCTTAGGAGAGAAGCAAATGTTCACGTAGTCAATTTTTTTCTTATTTATTTTTTGCTTTGTTTTCTTATTTCAGTAATGATGAGTTCAATATGATCATTATTTTCCACTTACACTGCTTGCAACTCTAATATTTTGTTTTTGTTAGTCCCCCTTTGACAGTTCAGCACTAAATCAAATGCAGATAATCATCAGTTGTGTGAATAAAGTGTTTTTAATTGAGAACAAAATTATTGATATAGACACAAATTTGGATATTATCCTACTTAGCACAATATGTCGCTGGTTCAAAATGTAAAAACCTCTTTAGGCTGAGCAAATAATGGTTCTTGGAACTATTGTCCCATTTTGACAAATAAAACCCAATGCTTTTTATCTCATGGATAGATTATTAAAATAACTACATACCTGATCTTCATTTTATGTTCTCTCTCTTCAAGATATTCCTTCGAAACCACTTTGACTGATTAGTCTCTTTTGAATTATGTTAGACTCTGTATTTTCTCCACAAGCTCATCAGTGTAAATCCTGCCTTTACATTTTTTATAAAAATTCTCTTTTTTTTTCAAATCTTAGTTGAGCTGAAAGATTTCCACCAAATGTCTCCTATGCCACAAAGCCTTATTTTACTTATCTCCCCTGTCCTCCTTGCTCAAGCTCATTTAGGAATATTTTAATTAAAACATTCATGCAATACTGTTTTTTAAAAAATCTGAACATATAGTATTTTCAATCTGAATACAAAATAGTGCTCTAATTTGAAAACAAGTTTTAGAAACAAATGTTTCTAGAAGGAGAATCAACAGTGTCATAAATATCATAATCCAATTTTCCTGTTTGTACTAAAACATTAGCAAATATTTATTGAGAAATTGCCATCTGCCTGAAAGTATAATGCTTTTGATGCACATTATATCATAAAAACTAGGTACTATTATTAGTAGTATCTTAAGAGTATAAATATCGAGTCTTAGAGATGTTAAGCAACGTGCCCAAATAGCATGGGGAAAGTTGGAATTCTGAAATTCTGACTATGCTGTGCGTAGGATAGGAGAATCAAGGCTTGTCAAATGTAACTGTTAAGTCATTGTGGGGATACGGAGGCCTCTGATTGCTAGGGTCAATACACTTAAGCAGATCATGTCACTACTTAGTTAAATCTATTTCATTAAAGCAAAATTCCATAAAGATTATTGCCACCAAAACTATTAATTTTCCTTCCTTCCTTTCTCTCTTTATCTTTCTTTCTTTCTTTTCTTTTCTTTCTTTCTTTCTTTTCTTTCTTGTCTTTCTTGTCTTTCTTGTCTTTCTTTCTGTCTTTCTTTGAGACAGGGTCTCAGTCTGTTGCCCAAGCTGGAGTGCAGTGGCACAATCATGGCTCACTGCAGCCCCAGCTTCCCCAGGCTCCGGTGATCCTCCCACCTCATCCTCCTGAGTAGCTGGGACTACAGGCAGGCAAGCCACTACGCCTGGCTAAAATTTTTTTTTTTTTTTTGGTAAAGATTGGGTTTCACCATGTTGCCGAGCCTGGTCTGCAACTACTCAGCTCAAGCAATCCACCTGTCTTTGCCTCCCAAAGTATTGGGATTCCAGATGTAAGCCACATGCCTGGCCAAAAATATTATTTAACAAGTTCAATTTAACTATTAGATTTTGGACAATGAGGGATAGAATTTTCTACATCATAAATCATCTTGTGTTCTTTATTTAAAGTAATATGTAAGGATTTCAATTCAATTCAAATATATTTATTAGGAAATTAAATGTCTTTTTCAGGATTCCAAACTTTTGTTGAAGACATAAATGTTAAATGATGTCACTAATTTTAATTAGATTAACAGAAAGGTATTCTGGTGTTTAATAACAGTGACAGAATGGGCTATTAATTTTATTTTCTTTCCCTTTCTCCCTTTCCCCTTTTTAAAATATTTTACTTTTTAGGCTGTTTGGAATCCTGTAGATAGAGTTTTGGAGAATTAGACAAAACACTCACAGAAACTGCCAACCCTTGGATGAAATATATTGTTACTGTGCTTTGGGATTAAAATAAGTAACTACAGTTTATAGAACTTTTATACTGATACACAGACACTAAAAAGGGAAAGGGTTTGGATGAGAAGCTCTGCTCTGCAACCAGGAATCTCAGCCACTCATTTCTGTTGGAGCTGCAGGAGCTCCCTGTAAAGAGAGATTATGGAGTCTGTAGCTTCAGGAAAGATACTTAAAACCCTTCAGAGTTTCTCCATTTTTTCCCAGAGTTTCCCCAAAAAGGTTATGACATTTTATAAGAATGCTTCACTTGTGAAAAACTAATACCAAGTCTTCTTGTAATTTATATTTAAGGATAAATCTTTATTCCATGTTTAATTTATTTCACTTATCCTGTAACTAATATTTCATGCTGAACACATTTTAAATGCTGTAAATATAGATAATATAATTTATGGATCATTAATGCCTCTTTAGTAGTTTAATGTCAAAAGAAATGACCCCAGAATAAGCTTCTTGATTTGTAAAATTCTATGTCATTGACTCAAGTTTGTATGGCATCTCAAAATATAAATATAGACATCTCAGATAATATATTTGAAATAGCAAATTCCTGTTAGAAAAGAATAGTACTTAACTAGATAAGAATAACAGGTCACCATTATTTGAATTGTCTCCTATTAATTTTTGTTCTGTTGTGTTACTCATGTTTTACTTATGGGGGATATACATAACTTCTGCTGTTTTCAGAATTATTGTATGCAGTCAGTATGAGAATGCAATTTTAGTTTCCTTGATGCTTTCTCACACCTCTATTACTAGAAATAAGAATACAGTAATATTGGCAAAGAAAATTGACCAGTTCAATAAATTTTTTTAGTAAATCTGATTGAAAATAAACATTTCTTACGGCTTTCTTACATCAATATTGTTATGTCTTAGACTACCGTATCTGAAATTAAGGCTTTGAAATTCTAATTATGTGCAAATGTGTAAAATATCATCACCTAACGCTATATAATATATTCTATTTCTATACTGTGATGGCAGGTTTATAATTCTGGAAAGATATACACAACATAAAATTTACCTTTTTAATCACTTTAAGTGCACAGTTTTGTGGCATTAAGTATATTTGCACTATTGTGCAACAGTCACCACCATAGACCTCCAAAACTTGTCTTCTTCTCCAACTAAAATGCTTTACTCATTGAACACCAACTTCCCATTCCTCTCCCTCTCCTTCCCCCTAGCAATCACCATTCTACTTTCTGTCTCTACAAATTTCACTAAGTAACTCATAGAAGTGGCATGATAGAATGTTTGAATTTTTCTGACTGGCTTATTTCACTTAGCATGTCTTCAAGTTTCATCTATTTTGTAACATGTGTGAGAATATATTTTAAGGCTGAATATTATTATGTTGCCGTATATACCACATTTTGTTTAACCACTCATCCATCAATATTCACATGGGCTGCTCCCTCCCTTTGATTATTGTGAATAATATTGCTAATGGACACGCTGCACAAACATCTTTTTGGTCCCTCCGCTCATTTATTTTGGATATGGATTTGCATTTTAATACAAAGGAGAAATTACACAGCTTTTTAAAAGTGTCCAAATAAAAAGGAGCACAACATCAGTAAAATATTAGAAAGTAGATTGGGGGGAAAACAGGGAAGGAATTGAACCAAAAGTCAATAAGCTGCATAAGAGAGTTGCAAGAGGAGGAAAAAATTGACAATATTAACATAGAATTAAAGAGCGATAGGTCGATATTTAGAAAATTGTCGCATGTACTCATATGTCGCCTGTGAACTGACATTTACATTATTTTATTATTCCAGGTTTCCAAAAGTAAGTGCAATATGAGAGTTTCATGATGCTAAGTAAACTGAAACATGCTATATATTTTGATATATTGTCCTTGAGAGGAGGCTGAGTGGTAATTAGTGCAATTTTAAATTATGATATGATAATGCAGTCAATCTGCCAAACTGAAAAAAAGTATATATACAATATGTATACATTTCTCGCAAAATTCAGTTTTATCATACAATTAAATTATGATTTAAAACTACCTGACAATTAATGGAGGAAAAAAAAAACAACATTTGCATTAATATTACCATAATTTTGATATTATTGTAAATATCAAAATATGTAGTACTTAGAGATAAACCAGCAAAAAAGAGAAACATTTGAAAACTACAAAACTACAAAATATTGCTAAAATAAACGAGACCTAAATAAATGGAATTTATGAGTCATAAATCTCAATATTGTTAAGATGTCTACTCTTTCCACATTGATCTATAACAATTCCAATCAAATCACAGCTGGATTTCTTATTTTAGAAATTGAGAAACTAAAATTCTGAAATGTACATCGATGGGTAGAGGACCTATAATGGCAAATTACTTTGAAAGGAAACAGTTACTTTGAAACCAGGTGCTGCTGGAGAATTAACAGCACCTGGATTCAAGACTTATAACATTACAGTAATACTTAAGACAATGTAGTACAAATATAGATATACACATGTATATCATCTATCAGCTAATTTTTGATAAAGTTCTTAGACCATTCATGGACATAACATTTTCAACAAATGCTTCTGAAACAATTAGATATCCCAGTATATATTTGTGTGTGTGTGTGTGTGTGTGTGTGTGTGTGTGTGTGTGTGTGAAGCTCAATACTTCACACCTGAGAGGTATGAGTGTGCATTACAAAAGAGAACTGGGAAGCTTTGAGAGTATTGGATATGCTCATTGTCCCCTTCATGGTGATTAATGGGCACATGTACATATCAAATTCATCTCATTTACACTTTAAATATTGGAAGTGTGTTTTATGTTCGTTAGACATGAATAAAGCTGCAAAATGTTATCAAAATATTCACTTACTATGCTTTTATTCATTTTCATCTCTCTATAAACTTTCAGATAGAAAATGCAGTTGAAAGATATTTCATAAAGGAAGAAAAAGTAAGAATACAGGTGAGAGATATTACTGAGATTTTCTTTCAGTGCAATTCTGGTCTTTTCTGACTAGCAATATTTTTATGTGCAGAAGTAGTAGAAAAGATAAATATTTTGTACAGTAGAAAAACGCATCATTTCTGTGCCATGGAAGAGAGAACTCACAAAGATGACAGCTTCTGGCTATGTTGGATACTAACCAGTACTGTAAGTACCCAGCGATCTGACGTTAACATTGGCTGTAAAGCTCCTTTAATGTTCCTTGCAATGATTTGAACCTGTTACTGGAACCCTCATCGCTTATTGAGTTGAAAAACATTGTTGATATGTGTTTATCTTATATTTGCAGTAGAGTCATAATTTTACTTCTTAGAAAATTATACATTAAACAAAAAAGACACATGAAATTGTATATTGTTTAATGTTTCAACTGTGATAATCACTCCATATGCATATTTAAATTCCTATTTGATAAAGGATAGAAAATACAGAAAGAATTCTTGTGATAATAGAGAACACAGAACTGTTGAAAGGTGTTGAAGCTGAGCTGGAGAGAGTCACCAAGGCTGGCGCCAAAGCTGGCAAGGTCGGAGGGTTTCCTGCCTGGGTGGCACAGCTTGAGCTCGCCCTGCATCACGAGTGGTGGAAACTGCAGACCCAGCTGGGCCCGGAGGCCTCTGCCTCAGCCTCCCGCCCACTAGGAGCTGCGCTGAGGTCCCAGATAGGCGACCCTGGCGGGGTGCCCCTGAGCGAAGGGGGGACAGCAGCAGGAGACCAGGGTCCAGGGACCCACCTCCCACCGAGGGAACCTCGAGCCTCCCCTGGCACCCCTAGCTTGGTCCGCCTGGCCTCCGGAGCCCGGTGTGCATCCTGGTCATGGGGACACCCACCAGGTGCCCGGGAGTCCCCCTCCGCCACAGCCTGCGGCTCCGCCGGCCCTCAAGCCTGGTGCGGGGACTCCAGCCGCATCGCCTCTGCTCCTGCCAGGCCGGGACCTGTCCTCCTCCTGGGCGCCCGGCAGTAGGGGCGATGCACACTGCCTGCTGCCCTGCACAGCCTTTCGCCGCACATCACCTCTGGCCCCTCCGCCCCGGGCCAGGACCTTCCTGGCCACACAGAACCCCCCTTCCTTCCCGCTGCAGAGCTGCTGCGCTTCCCCCACCCACAGGGAAAAACGGCCGATCTCCAACCAAACAGAAATCTGTGTGTGACTCCTCTGGTTGGATACTGCCAGTCCCCACATTTTCTTCCGGGAGTTTTCTTGGCAGAAGGTGCCCAATGTTTGATGTTTCGCCAGCCATGAGGCTGAAAAGTGACAGCAATAGAGAAACACATCAGGCTTTCCGCGACAAAGATGACCTTCCCTTCTTCAAAACTCAGCAATCTCCACGGCACACAAAGGACTTAGGACAAGATGACCGAGCTGGAGTGCTCGCCCCAAAATGCAGGCCCGGAGTGGGTCACCTCCTTAGGGCAGGCCCAGGCTTGTCCTGGCTGCCCGGGCACCTTTCTCCTCACTCCCACCCAATGCAGGGGACCCCAAAACTCGGCTGTTGGGGCTCCCTGCGCCTCCCTCCACAGAAGCCACCTCCTGCCCTCCAAGCTGGGGGTCTCCTGGGGCATCCTGGGCTGAGAGGGAAAGACGCCAGCTCCGCAAGCCGGGAAGGGAACACCGCCACATTGTTACACGCACACACCACCACACTGTCACATGTACAGACACACGGAGACATTACCACACGGACACACCGTCACATGGACACACTGGCACATTCACATGGACGGACACACAGACATACGGAGAAATCCACACGGACACACCACCACACTATCACAGGGACACACAGACACACGGAGACGTCACCACATGGACACACCACCACACTATCACAGGGACACACACAAGAGACATCACTACACTGTCACATGGACACACCATCACACTCACACGAACACAAAAACACACTGCCACATGGACACTGCCACACACACACACACCGCCTCACTGTCACATGGACACACCTCCACACTGTCAGACACCACCACACAGACACTGCCATGTGGAAACAAGGACACACAGACACTGTCACACGGATACACAAACACACTGTCACACGGAGACATCACCATGCAGATACATGAACACACCACCACATGGACATAGCACCACACAGACACTCTGCCACACGGACACACCACCACACAGAAATGCGGACACACCACCACACAGACACACCACCACGCTGCCACACAGAGACACCACCACATCGTTGCCACACTTTCATGTGTCAGCTGGCGGTGTGGGCCCCACGACTCTGGGCTCTAATAGAGAAATTACTTAGGCATATAGTGAAGGCAAAATAATTTTTTTTTTTCCTGAGGCGTAGTCTCGCTCTGTCCCCCAGGCTGGACTGCAGTGGTGCAATCTCGGCTCACTGTAAGCTCCGCCTCCCGGGTTCACGCCACTCTCCCGCCTCAGCCTCCCGAGTAGCTGGGACTACAGGAGCCCGCCACCAAGCCCGGCCACCTTTTGGGTGTTTTTAATACAGACGGGGTTTCACCTTGCTAGCCAGGATGGTCTCGATCTCCTGACCTCGTGATCTGCCCGCCTTGGCCTCCCAAAGTGCTGGGACTACAGGCGTGAGCCACCGCGCCTGGCCAAGAATTTCTTTCCATCTCCTGTGTCATTGCTTTGGCAGTGGAAATGCGCGTGGCCTCTAGAGTGGGTCCCAAGGTCAGGAAGGCCTGTAAGGTGGAGGGCAAGGTCTCTCTTTCCAGGCTGGAATGGAGGAAGATGTGGTGGCTGAGGGGCTGCATGTCCTCCTCACAGCACGCCCCTGAGAACATTTATCCTCCTGAGCCGCGAGTGTCCCTCAGGGGTGTCTAAAGCGCTGGGTGGGGCCCTTATAGGCCTTAGGAGCTCTGGCCCATTAGTGGTCCGTAAAACGCAGAGGTGAACACCATAGAACAACAGGTCCAGGAGAATTTTGTAAAAGCTCTGAGGATGCCCTTTTTTGTTCTCCCACTGCAAAATTGTTTTAAAAAGGAAAAAATCCAGCAATGTCCGGGAAAAGTCAATACTGAGTGTCAGCGCGGGATGCTGCTGCTGATACGATCCCGGCGTCCTGGCCGAAAGTGGCCTCCTCGGGGACCGCATCTCCGCGCACCATGGCAGCAAACGCCAGCGGTTTGTGGGCAGATGGTGTCCCTGTGGCCATCCCCGCTCCTGAGTGCGGAAGGACAGACAGGAGCGGGGACTTCTGGGTGTTCCTGGTGTCAGCCAGCTTGACGCCGTTGTTCCTCCTGGACGTCCGGGATTTGGAGAAGCACCTGGTTCCTGATGGAGGCCGTGGGCCTCTTGGTCCCCGCTTACCAGGCAGCGGCGCCGGCCTAGTTCTCAGCCCCGCCCCCGATGGGCGCCGCCTTCCATCAGGCCAAAGACTTTCCTCCAAACTGCCCTTCTTGGGGCGGGGAAGCAGCATCCTGGGCCTCCCCTGGGGCCTGTGGCGCTGGCAGCAGCTCCACGTTGAGGTCGCCTGCAGCCTGCACCGCGGAGCGCTGGAGGTCCCTGAACCCGGCGTGGGGAGGCCAATCCGCAGGTGCCTGGTGCCCGGTGCCGGTCGCAGTCTCAAAAGCGCCTGGAGGTGACATCCAGGAGCACCACCGCGCCGCCCGCAGGGAGACGCATGGCAAGGCGCGCCCCCTAAAGCGGCCAAGGAAGAAGCAGAAGGACAGGAAGGCACCCAGAGCTTGGGGTGATCTCAGGCCGCGCGCCCCAAGTTCCTGGTCTCTGGGAGGTTTTTTTTAAATTTCTTCCATATTATTATTTTTATTATTATTAACTTTTCAAGATGGATTAAAGACTTAAATGTTAGACCTAAAACCATAAAAACCCTAGAAGAAAACCTAGGCAATACCATTCAGGACATAGGCATGGGCAAGGACTTCATGTCTAAATCACCAAAAACAATGGCAACAAAAGCCAAAATTGACAAATGGGATCTAACTAAACTAAAGACCTTCTGCACAGCAAAAGAAACTACCATCAGAGTGAACAGGCAACTTACAGAATGGCAGAAAAATTTTGCAATCTACCCATCTGACAAAGGGCTAATATCCAGAATCTACAAAGAACTTAAAAAAATGTACCAGAAAAAATCAAACAATCCCATCAAAAAGTGGGCGAAGGATATGAACAGACACTTCTCAAAAGAAGACATTTATGCAGCCAACAGACACATGAAAAAATGTTCATCATCACTGGCCATCAGAGAAATGCAAATCAAAACCACAATCCGGGAGGTCTTGCCAAAGACGATGTGGGCTTTCTGGGCAATGTCCAGCCTGAGCTGGAGCTTCTGGGACGCGGTCAAGTGGTCCTTTGGAGATTCCACGGCTTCGGATCCCTACTGCAGGATGCTCCGCTGTGTCTGCCAGCCTCTGGCGTTTTGCTGAGGGGTAACCTCGGAATGTATAGAAATAAGAACACTGGGATGGCCCAGTCATGACCCAGGCATTCCTGCACACAGTGGTGGCAAAGGCAGGCGCTCAGACAAAGTGCCCGGTCGGCTTGGTGAGAGTACTTTACAGGTTAGTGACAGACTTGGTCCCGTGCTTGTGTCCTCTCATGTTTTCAGTTAACCTGCGGACGCCCAGGGGCTCCTCCATCTCCACCGTGTTCTCCTCGGGCTGAAGCCCAAAGTCCCCCATTTTCTCCTCAAACGGCTCACAGAGCCACTTCTGCAGGCAGGAGGACAGCGGTGGGCTCAGTGGCTGACCTGGGAAGCCACATCTGAAGGAACTGCTGGGTGACTATGGCCGTAAGTCAATCAAAGCAGACTTTCCCTGGCTTGCTGCGCTACATTGATTTTGTTTTCATATTTTAAAAGACGCAGAAGGGAGGTCCTAGGAAATTTGCCCAATGCAGATGCTGACAAGAGTGGTGACATGAAAAAGATTACCCAGAAGGAAAACAAGAGCTATTTTCTAAACATCTGAAATCTGTGTAGGCTTTTGGAAAAGTGAAACTAGATGCAAAGCAGCATGATATAATTCTGGCAATTTCCACTGACACAGAACTCAGTCAATCTGAATTAATCTAAGGGTTACAAGGAAAATGGCACTCCAAGAGGTACCTACTAACATCACTCAGCTGCTGTGAAATAGGCTTACAGACAACACGGAGTGTCAATTATCCAATGTTTAAAGTCAGTGATACAGATTGGACTACAATCTCTATGGCTCATAAAGTCTTCTTTAAAGGATTGATAGATGATTTATCTCATATGTAGACAATGATTCTCAGCAGTTAGCTAGCACAACTTGCTAATATCAATTGCTTGAGAAAATCAGATAATTGCTTGAGAAAATTAGGACATTGCTTGAGGATGTTAGGTAATTAAATAAATTACTTTTTTTAAGAATAGTTTAATGTTTTGGCAAGTAGACTTTAAAATAGATTGGTAATATTTTAAAGGCTACTTTTAAAGAAGTAGCAATATAACATGTTTAATTATGAAAAATAATGTTGGAAACAATTCAATTTTCTATCAGATAATTTCACAAATATAGAAATACCATCTCAATAATTAGAAGAAGTAGCAGCAATTTCTGTCATTTTTATGCAAGTTACTCCTAGTCCATTTATCTGGTCTTAAATAGTGTTTTTAAAATTTGTTTTCAAACAAGGCAAATCATAAATAATAGAATATATTTTACAATAATTGAAGTTAACAAAAAATAAGAGCCATTTAAAAAATTGTATTAGATTGTTTAAAAATGTTGTGGGTACATAGTATGTGTATGTATCTGTGGGGTCCCTGAGATGTTTTGATACAGGCATGCAAGGTGAAATAAGCACATCTTGGGGAATGGGGTATCCCTCCCCTCAAGCATTTATCCTTCAAGTTATAAAAAATTCAATTACAGTCTTAGTTATTTCAAAATGTACAACGAAATTATTATTGGATATAGTCACCCTATTGTGCTATAAAATAGTAGGTCTTATTAACTCTCTATTTTTATACCCATTAACCATCCCCACCTTCCCACAAAATCCCCCCCCCAACTACCTTTCCCAGCCTCTGATAACCATCCTTATACTCTCTATGTCCATGAGTTTGTTTTGATTTTAGATCCCACAAATAAGTAAGAACATGTAACATTTGTCTTTCTGCGCCTGGCTTATTTCACTTAATATAATGATCCATAATGTTCCATCAGTGTTACTGACAATGACTGGATCTTGTTCTTTGTTACAGCTGAATAGTCCTCCATTGTGTATATGTACCACATTTTCTTTATCCATTCATCTGTTGATGGACACTAAGGTTTCTTCCAAATCTTAGTTTTGTAAACAGTGCTGCAACAAATATGGGAGTGCAGATATGTATTTGACATACTGATTTCCTTTATTTTTGGTATAGACCCAGCAGTAGGATTGCTAGATCATATGCTAGCTCAACTTTTAGTTTATTGAGAAACATCCAAACTGTTCACCTTGGTGGTTTTATTAATTTACATTCCCAGGAGCAATGTACAAGTGTTCCGTTTTCTCTGCTTCCCTGCTAGCATTTGTTACTGCCTGTCTTTTGCATACAAGTCTTATAAACTGTGGTGAGATGATATCTCATTGTAGTTTTGATTTGCATTTCTCTGATGATCAGTGATATTGAGCACCTTTTCTTATACCTGTTTGCCATTTGTAGGTCTTCTTTTGAGAAATATCTATTCGAATCTTTTGCCCCCTTTTTTTTAACCAGGTTATTAGATTGTTTCTTAAAGAGTTGTTTGAGCTTTTTATATATTCTGATTATTAATCCTTTGTTGGATGAGTAGTTTGCAAATATTTTCTCTCATTCTGTGGATTATCTCTTAACTTTGTTGCTTGTATCATTTTCCGTGCAGAAGCTTTTAACTTAATGTGATCCATTTGTCCATTTTTGCTTTGGTTGCCTGTGCTTGTGGGGTATTGCTCAAGATATTTTTGCCCAGACCAATATCCTGGAGATTTCCCCCAAAGTTTTTTTGTGCTAGTTTTATAGTTTGAGGTCTTAGCTTTACATCTTTAATCAACTTTGATTTTACTTTTGTATTCAGTGATAGATACTAGTCTGTTTTCATTCTTCTGCATATGGATATCCAGTTTTTTCAACACCATTTCCCACCAGTGTATGTTCTTGGCACCTTTGTCAAAAATGAGTTCACTGTAGGTATGTAGATTTGTTACTGGGTTCTCTATTGTGTTTCATTGATCTATGGGCCTCTTTTTATGTCAGTACCCTACTCTTTTGGTTACTGTAATTCTGTAGTATAATATGAAGTTAGATAATATAATTCCTCCAGTTTTATTTATTTATTTATTTTTGCTTAGGATAGTATTATTTCTTATACTGAAAGCATTCTATGTTATTATTAATCTAATTTTGCAGTTTTACAATGCTATCCTCTTTTACAAAGCTGTGATCAACTCAAAGTCCAGATCAGGGTCAATTGTAGCTATTTGCAAAAGTAGCAATATTCTGGCCAGGGGTGGTGGCTCATGCCTATAATCCCAGCACTTTGGGAGGCCAAGACAGGCAGGTCACCTGAGGTCAGAGGTTCAAGACCAGCCTGGCCAACATGGTGAAACCCTGTCTCCAATAAAAATACAAAAATTAGCCGGGGATGAAGGCAGATGCCTGTAATCCCAGCTACTCAGGAGGCTGAGGCAGGAAAATCACTTGAACCCGTGAGGTGGAGGTTGCAGTGAGCCCAGAATGCACCATTGCACTTCAGCCTGGGTAACCAAGTGTGACTCCGTCTCAAAAAAAAAAAAAAAAAAAAAAAAAAAAAAATTACTATACTGTGTAATTATTGAGAGCATAATTCACTATTATGTGGATCAGAGAGCAGAGCATTCTGAATGCATGAACATATCTTTAACATTTCAATACATTACTCATAATTACTAATGAACTAAAGAGAAACCAAGAAATTATGGTGATAGTTATATTGACTTGGTGAAATGTAGACACAAAATAACGGTAAGATGAGAAATGTGTTAACACAGGCTATAAGGGCATGCAAGAATAAAAATAGGGGAGAAAACAGGAGAGTTTTTCAAGAGCTTTCTGGTCATGTAAGTCAATTTGTATCGGTTAATTTTTAAAAAGTTTATTTACATGCAATAAACTGCACATACTTCAATTGTACATTTTGATAATTCTTGGCATTTGTAGCTCTACAAAACCAACAACATATGAAAATAGCAAACATATCCATTACCTTTACCACCAAAGTTTCCTTGTGCTTTTTCTACTCACTTTTTCCTGCCTATCCCCATTCCATCCACAGGCAACCACTGATCCACTTCTAGTCACTATCCGTGAGTTTTTATTTCCAAATACATAAAATCATAGGGTATGTATACTTTCTGATCACTCAGCATCACTATTTTTGAGATTTATTCATGTTGCTACATCTATCAATTGTTCTGTTCTTACTAGGGAGTATTATTTCATTATATACAGATACCATAGTAAGTTTATAAGTCACAAATTCACCTGTCCATGGATATTTGGACTATTTTCAGGTTTTGGCTGTTGCAAGTAAAGCTGCTATGAAGATTCATGTAAAATCCTTTGAATGGGCATATGCTCTTAGGTTTTCATCTCTACTGGAATAGATAGCTATATGGCTATCATGTCTGTAATATGCAAACACAAAGCCTGACAAAACTGATTTCTAAAGTGGAAATTCCACTGGAGAACCTTGACTCCAACCTGGCTTTTGAGATTATCTCCTATGTCTGGTGCAATGATTGGTCCTGGGGTAGCCACATGACCCAAGGGGGACCATGTTTAAACTTCTGAGTTTTCACCGAGGTTAACATGCATTTGTTGAAAGAGAAACCCCTTTTCCCCTACTCCCCCAGCTGCAAATGCCTTCAGGGATTATATCATGTTGGAACATTTGGTTACAGTGTTTCCTAAACTTTGGGGGTAAAAATTGTTCAAGTAGGTAAAAATGGAGCACACACAAAGAAAAAAGGAGTCCAGAAATATCAAATAAAGAAAGGGCCTCCATAAAATCATTTGAACTTATGATTAATTCATTAGTCATTAAAATAAGTTTAGTGTACAAAGAATCATCCCTCCAACCACCCTTTATTCCTTCACCAGGTTTAAGTTACATTTTTAAACTTGCATACAAAAGATTTGTCATTAACTTAGACATCAAAATCCCTTGTCTCCAAGAGCAATCATTCAACTCTGTCCCTCTCATTATTACAATAATATGTTCACTTTATTCTACATACACCTGCTCGTTGCCCTTGTCTCCCTATTCTATTCTGTTAAAGTTATATCCAGACATTTATTTCATTTTATATCAAAGAAACTGTATACACGTTTTTAATCTTAGAAAAATTTCTGAGTAATCTTTTGTCTCATATTCGATTTTAAGCCACCCAAGAAGCATTATTTTTTCATTTAGCATTTTAACTTTTCTAACCCAGGACTTTTATAGTAGATATTATGTCTTTTTCTAAATGTTCTGCTTCAATTTACATTTTAAATCTAATTTTTAAAAAGTGTATGTTTTGAATATTAGCATCATGCATCTCAGGCCTAAATATCCCTTGATAACTAATATTGTCCTTTTTTCTCTACATTTTTCACATATTTCAATAGGGAGCTATATTGCCTGCCACAATAAAAGTTTTTGTCAATATAACATAACACATAGGCAAAATATTGTTTCCAAGTGATTGATGATGTGGTGCCTTCAGTCTAGTCCCAACCCCTCAATGTAATCATCATCCCTAAATCTAATGAAATAGGAAATAAATATTTCATTTTGTTTCTAAAATTCAGCAGAAAAATATACAGCCTGTCACATATAGCCTGTAACACCAACATATAAAAATTAAAGCAGTTCCTTCTCCACTCCCACTGCTTCACTTGACTAGCCTTAAAAAATAATAATAATAATAAATAAAAGCAAAATTGTTCCTTTACTTATCTTTGAAATCTAATGGATATACTATCAGAAAAGCTCTTATGTATATGGAGGGCCTCTATAAAATATAAACTGTTAACTAGAAAAGTAGATTTATATGATAGTTAAATTTAAAACACAATTATATATAGTACCTTCCCAAATGCACCAGTACTTATTTCAGAATGCATGATGTAATTGACTAAACCATTTAGGGCTAGACCTCTGAAATAAAAGGCATTCACACTTTGTGATTCCTGGGGAAATATTCAAAATAGAAACTTGCAGAATCTTTACCTGATCATGATAAAAAAAAATGTTCCTACTTGTTAATATGCCACAGCTTTTACAAGGTCAGCAAAAAGAGATTATCCCACAATAAAAGCTGATGGCCAAAATTATCTGCCTTACATTAGTTACCATAATATCTATTAAGTGTAAATTTCTTCTGAAGGAAAACAGATACACTTTTCTCAGAAATGTCTTTAGATGAAGATCTAGCACATCTGTGTTCCTCACTTTTTAAAATGTTGATTTTATTGATAAATAAATATATATAGGGTACAATGTGGTACGATACATGTAGATATTGTGAAATGGTCTAATTAGGCTAAATAACGTATCCTTCACCTCAGATATGTATTACATTATGGTGAAACATTTAAAATGTACTATTTTAGCACTTTTAAGATATGCACTACATTATGAGTAACTGCAGTCACTTTGCTGTGCACCATATCACCAGAATGTCTTTCTCCTAACTGAAGCATTATCCCATTCAATATTTCCCCTTTTTCCACCCCTGCCCCCCACTCTGCTCAGCCTCTGATAAACCACCATTCTATTCTTAACTTCTATGAGTGCACAGTTTTGGATTTCACATATAAGTGATACCATGAGATATTTGTCTTTCTGTGTCTGGCTTATTTTACTTAGCATAATGTCCTCTAAATTCATCCATGTTTTTGCAAATGACAGATTTTCATTCATTTATAAAGATAAGTAGTATTTTTGTATGCATCCTACATATACTTTTAACTTTCCACAGCTTTATTGAGATATAATTTATACATTGTGTAATTCACTCATTTAAAGTACAAACTTCAAATTCTTTTAGTATATTAACTGGATGGACAAATAATCATCATAATATAATTTTAGAACATTTTATTTTCCTTAAAAGAGACTTGCGCCCATTAGCAATCTTTCCCCATTTTCTCCAGTCTTTTTTAAACCCCTCCTAGTCTAGGCAACCACTCGTCTACTTTCTGACTATGAATTTGCCTATTCTGGACATTTCACATAAATGGAATTATAATAACACATAGTCACTTTTTACTCACATCTTTCACCTAACATATTTTTAATGTTCATCCATTTTGGAGCATGCATTAACAGTTTTTTACCTTTTCTTGCTAAATAAGATTCTATTTTATGGACACACCACATTTTATTTATCCACTCCTCAGCTGATGAACATTTCTGTTGTTTTCTACTTTGTGTTGCTATAAACATTTGTGTACTACTGTTTGTGTAGCATTTGTTTTATTTTCTTTTTGGTAAACACATAGGAGTGGAATTGCTGGGTCACGTGATAACTCTATGTTTAACCATTTGAAGAACTGCGAGACTGCTTTACATTTTAAAGTCTCACCAGTGGTGTAGAAGGGTTCCAATTTTTCCACATATTTTTATCTAGTCTTCAGTTGATAAGCACTTAGGTTGTTTCTAATTCATGGGTATTATGAATAATGCTGCAATGAACATGAAATTGCAGATGTCTGTTTTTGACATACTGATTAAAATTCCTTTGGACACGTATCCAGAAGTGGGATTGATGGATCATAGGGTAAATATATTTATAATTTCTTGAGGAAGCTTCATACTGTTTTCCAAGATGGCTGTGCTAATTTCCATTCTTACCAACAGTGCACAGGGTTTCTTTTTCTCCACATCCTCATCAACACTTATCTTCCATCTTTTTTTATAATAGCCCTAGTAAAATGTGTGAGGTGATATCTCATTGTGGCTTTGATTTGCATTTCTCTGATAATTAGAAATGTTTATGATTTTTTCATGTACCTGTTGGCCTTTTGTATGCCTTACGAAATGTCTATTCTGGTTCTTTGCTTATTTTTTTTAATAAGCATAGTTTTATTCTTATGTTTGAGTAGGTTGAGTTACTTATATATTATTATATGAGCCCCTTATCTGATGTATGGTTTAAAAATGTTATCCCATTTGTGGGTTCTCTTCATTCTATTATCACTTCTTTTCCTGTGGAAAAGCTTTTTAGTTTTATGCAATCTCATTCATGTGTTTTTGCTTTTGTTGCCTGTGCTTTTGGAATAATCTACAGAAAATCATAGCTCAGGCCAATGTCATACAGTCTTCTTCTATATTTCCTTGTAGTAGTTTTACATTTAAGTCTTTAATTTTGATTTCATGCTTGTATAAAGAGCAAAAGAAAAGTCAAATTTTATTCTTCTGTATGTGGATAGTCAGTTTTTTCTACACCATTTATTGAAAATAATTTTCTTTCTTCATTGTGTATTTTTAGTTATTTTATCAAAAAGTCAATTGACCACAGACATACGGATTTATTTACGGGTTCTATATCCCTTTGCACTGTTCTACATGTCTGTTTTTATGCCACTGCTATGTTGTTTTAATTACTATAGCTTTGTAATATAGTTTGGAATCGGGTAGTCTGATGCCTCCAGCTTTATTCTTTTTGTTCAAGATTGCTTTGGTTAGTCAGGGTCTTTTGTGGTTTCATACAAATTTTAGCAGTAATTTTTCTATTTCTGGGAATTTGATAGTGGTTGCATTTAATCTGTAGATTGCTTTGGGTAGCATTGACACTTTTACAATACTAATTTTTGAATCAATCAATAAAGGATGTTTCTCCATTTATTTATGCCATTTTAACTTTTTTCATCAATGTGCTATAGTTTTCAGTGTGCAAATCTTTCACATTCTTGATTAAATTTACTCCTAAGTCTTTTACATATTTTTATATCTGTTTTGATTCTATTATAAATTGAATTGCCTCATTAATTTATTTTTCAGGTAATAGTTTGTCATTAATGTATAGAAACAATAATGCTATCTGTATGATTTTGTAACTATTAACTTTATTGAATTTCTTTATCAGCTTTAACCGTTTATTGTGGTGGAGTCTTTAAGATTTTCTCTACCTTGAGTGCGCCAGGCGCGGGGAGCCTAGGACCTGGAGCGAGAGCCGCCTACCTGCAGCCGCCGCCCACGGCACGGCAGCCACCGTGGCGCTCCTGCTGCGCTTCGTGCTCCTGTGCAGAGTCGCGGATTTCATCAGAGGTTGGAGTATCACTACTCCTGAGCAGATGATTGAAAAAGCCAAAGGGGAAACTGCCTATCTGCCATGCAAATTTACGCTTAGTCCTGAAGACCAGGGACCACTGGACATCGAGTGGCTGATATCACCAGCTGATAATCAGAAGGTGGATCAAGTGATTATTTTATATTCTGGAGACAAAAATTATGATGACTACTATCCAGATCTGAAAGGCCGAGTACATTTTAAGAGTAATGATCTCAAATCTGGTGATGCATCAATAAATGTAACGAATTTTCAGCTGTCAGATATTGGCACAGATCAGTGCAAAGTGAAAAGAGCTCCTGGTGTTGCAAATAGGAAGATTCAGCTGGTAGTTCTTGGTAAGCCTTCAGGTACAAGATGTTACGTTGATGGATCAGAAGAAATTGGAAGTGACTTTAAATTAAAATGTGAACCAAAAGAAGGTTCACTTCCATTACAGTATGAGTGGCAAAAATTGTCTGACTCACAGAAAATGCCCACTTCATGGTTAGCAGAAATGACTTCATCTGTTATATCTGTAAAAATGCTTCTTCTGAGTACTCTGGGACATACAGCTGTACATCAGAAACAGAGTGGGCTCTGATCAGTGCCTGTTGCGTGTAAACGTTGTCCCTCCTTCAAATAAAGCTGGACTAATTGCAGGAGCCATTATAGGAACTTTGCTTGCTCTAGTGCTCATTGGTCTTATCATCTTTTGCTGTCGTAAAAAGCGCAGAGAAGAAAAATATGAAAAGGAAGTTCATCACGATATCAAGGAAGATGTGCCGCCTCCAAAGAGCCACACGTCCACTGCCAGAAGCTACATAGGCAGTAATCATTCATCCCTGGGATCCATATCTCCTTCCAACATGGAAGGATATTCCAAGACTCAGTATAAACAAGTACCAAGTGAAGACTTTGAACGCACTCCTCAGAGTCCGACTCTCCCACCTGCTAAGGTAGCTGCCCCTAATCTAAGTCGAATGGGCGCGATTCCTGTGATGATTCCCGCACAGAGCAAGGATGGGTCTATAGTATAGAGCCTCCATACATCTCATCTGTGCTCTCCGTGTTCCTTTCCTTTTTTTGATATATGAAAACCTATTCTGGTCTAAATTTTGTTACTAGCCTCAGAATGTATCAGAAAATAAGTTAATCAGGAGCTGTAAGGAATATATTTTTAAAAATTTTTGTTTGGTTATATCGAAATAGTTACGGGCATTAAAGTTAGTAAAGACAAGTTTACCATCTGAAAAGGCTGGATTTTCTTTAAGAGGCTGATTATAAAGGTTTCTAAATGTTATCAGTACCTAAGTAAGATGTAGCACTTTGAGTATGAAATCATAGGTGAAGAAATCGGTGAACTTACTTGCATACCAAGTTGATACTTGAGTAACCATCTGAAAGTGGTACTTGATAATTTTTACCATTATTTTTAGGATGTGTATCTCATTTATTTATGGCCCACAAGTCTCCCCCAAATTAGTACAGAAACATCCCTGACAAAATTACTTATGTACGTTTGTACTTGTTTTCACAGCTCCTCGGAAAACTCTGTGTTAGGAATATCTCTAAAAACATAGAAAACACTACAGTGATTTAGAAATTACTAATTTTACTTCTAAGTCATTCATAAACCTTGCCTATGAAATGACTTCTTAAATATTTAGTTGATAGACTGCTACAGGTAATAGGGACTTAGCAAGCTCTTTTATATGCTAAAGGAGCATCTATCAGATTAAGTTAGAACATTTGCTGTCTGCCACATATTGAGATGGCACTAGGTGCAATAGCAGGGATAGATTTTGTTGGTGAGAGGTCTCATGCCTTGAGATCTGTGGTGGTCTTTAAAATGGTGGCCAGCCAGACCAAGGATGTAGTATCTCATAGTCCCCAACTAAATGCTGGCTTTCCACTTTAGGTGATATTTTTCTAATTAGAAAAATATTATAACTCACTTATTGTTTGACAATTATAGATTGAAATTTCCTAATTCTAAATTTTAAGTGGCTCTTCGGTTTCAGTGCTCTATGTTGTTTGTTGTTGGTTTTGGATGGCATTACATATTATATGTTCTAGAAACATGTAATCCTAAATTTACCCTCTTGAATATGATCCCTGGATGATATTTTTATCATAAATGCAGAATAATCAAATACATTTTAAGCAAGTAAGTGTCCTCCATCAATTCCGTATTCCAGACTTGGGAGGATGTACAGTTGCTGTTGTGTGATCAAACATGTCTCTGTGTAGTTCCAGCAAATCAAGCTGAGCTTCAAAAAAGTTTGAGTCTCAGTTTTGTGAAAGTGATTTATTCTTAAAAAAAAAAAAAAAAGAAAGAAAGAAAAAAAGAAAAAGAAAAAAAGATAAGAAAAAGGAATAAAGCAACCACTCCTCCTTGTCAAATGTGCTAAATATCATTTTAGGAGAAGAGAGTGGACTTATTGTATCTCCCTTAAGATTGTGAGGGAGTGTGGATACAGTAGAATGAGCCAATAGTTTCTTTATAATAAATACGGTCTGCAATAAATTATTTCACTAGCTCTAAAACCTTTCCCTAGATTTTAGTGGGGAGTTGGTTTCTGTTAATATCTTTGGGTGCTGTGGTGGTAAATGCTACATTATAAACGGTGGCATGTATTTACAGTTACAGTATTGTGTGTACACTTTTTAATGGTAAACTTAAGCTGAATGTGTAATGGACTTGTGTATAGTTTTACATATTTGGAAGCATTTTAAAAATAGGTTTTAACCTTACATAAAATTACTTTTATACTTGTGTTAACATTTTCTTCTGTGCCTTTTGGGTAATTTAATTTCTGTTATGAATTTCTGGTGCCTATGAGCTAGCTATCACCTACCTGAAAGTTGCTTAGAGGTGAAGGTACTGTTTCTAAAAACACATCACTGTGACATCTTTCTATCCTCATATTTTCAAGCTTGCCTCTTTTCTGTTCTTTGTGGATATAACTTAAGTGATTGTGTTATTCATAAAGATTTAGAAATTTCAATATTCCCAACACTCTGACTATGTTTCTGATTTTATAACAGTAGCCATTTTTGAATGTCAGATGTTTGGCCTGTTTTATATGAATAAAGTTTATTTATAAAATATTATAAAAATAAGTAAATAGAACATTAATAATAAAAAAAGATTTTCTGTATCTTAAGATTATATTTTCAGAAAACAGAAACAATCTTACCTCTTCCTTCCCTATATGGATTTCTTTTATTTCTTTGTCTTGTGTAATTGATCTGGCTAGGCAATTACACATAATGTTTTCAGCATTTGTAATTTTACATCAAATCCATCCATTGTAGCACATTGACTGCTACTTTTCAACTTGTAAACCTGGACATTTATCACCACTCTTCCTCCAGTACAGGAGTCCATGGCCCGGTGTGGGCCCTACTGTGCCACAGTCCAGGGCACGGCTGGGCGCAGGTTCTCTCGTGCAAGAGTCCGCAGCTCTGTGGAGCAAGAGTTCTCCAGTGCCTTAGACCAGGGTGAGGCAGGGGTGAGGCTCCTTCAGTAGCTCAGTCCAGGACGCAGCCCTGCGAGGGTCCTCCTGTGCAGGAGTACACGATGCTGCGGGGTCCTACTGTGCCTTAGTCCAAGACGCCAGGGGGCTGGGTCCTCTGGTGCCATAGTCCAGGATGCGAGGGGCTGGGTCCTCTGGTGCCATAGTCCAGGGTGCAGTGGAACAGGAGTCCTGTGGAGCAGCAGTCCAGGGCGCGATGGGGCATGGATTCTCAGGTGCCGCAGTCCAGAACACTGCAGGGCGGGATTCCTGCCTTGCTATATCCAGGGTGCCGCGGGGCGGGGGTTCTCTTGTGCAGGAGTCCAGGACGTGGCGGAGCAGGAGTCCTCCGTGTAGGTGTCCTCCGGTGCTGGAGTCCAGAGCTCAGTGAGGCTGGGTCCTCCCGTGCCATAGTGTAGGGCATGGCGGGACAGGGATCCAGCCCTGCGATAGTCCAGTGCTTGAGTCCGCAGTAAGGCAATGGTCCTCCAGTGCTGGAGTTCACGGTGTGGTGGGGTCGGGGTCCTTCGGTGACTTAGTCCAGGGCGTACCAGGGCGGGGTTCCACAGTTGCCATAGTGAGGATCCTGGAGGAGGGTGGTTCCTGCCTTGCTGTAGTCCGGGGAGCAGGGGGCAGGGGTTCTCTCTTGTCAGAGTCTCTGGCGCGATGGGGGTGGGCTGGGGGTTTTCCTATGTGATAGCCCACTGGGCGGTGAAGCCGGGTCCTCCCGTGCCTTTGTCCAGGGTGCAGGGGGGCGAGGGTCTTCAGTGGTGGAGTCCGTGGAGCAGCAGGGCGGGGGTCCTGCAGTGCCATATTCCAGGCCGCTGCGGAGTGGGGGACCTGTCCTGCAGTGGTCCAGGGCATGCGGGAATGGTGGTCCTCCTGTGCCATAGTCCAACGCGCAGCGGGGCGGGGGGTCACCTCGTCCTGCAGTCCACCAACCACGAGGCCCGGGTGCTGCTGTGCCTCAGTCCAGTGCGCGGTGGGACGGCGGTCCTGCTGTGCTGTAGTGCAGGACGCGGTGGCGCAGGGGTAGTCCAGAGAGCGCCGTGGCAGGGGGTCCTCCAGTGCTGGAATCCAGTGCAAGGCGGGTCAGGGGTCTTACCGTGCCGAAGTCGGTGGCAGGGGTCCTCCCGTGCCATAGTCTAGGGGGCGACGGGGCAGGGTTCTCTAGTGCAGGTGTCCAGGGTGTGGCAGGGCAGGAGTCCTCTGGTGCAGGAGTCCAGAACCTAGCCGAGGAGTCCTCCAATGCCAGAGTCCAGGGCTCTGCGGGGCCGGGTTCCCCCATGCCAGAGTGTAGGGCGTGTTCAGGCGAGGGTCTTGGCGTGCAGTAGTCCAGGGTGCGGTGGGGCAGGGGTAGTCCAGACCTCCATGGCGGGGGTCCCTCTGTGCAGGAGCCCAGTGCCCGGCGGATCGGGGGTCCTTCCGTGCTGTAGTCCGGGGCACGGCAAGGTGTGGGTCCTCTGGTGCCCTAGGTCGGGGGCGGCGAGTCAGAGGTTCTCCCGTGCCTTGGTCTAGGGCGTGGAAGGACTGGGGTCCTGGAGTCCACGCGGTAGCACAAGTTGCCCCAGGACCAGGTCCTCTGGAACCACAGTCCAGGGCGCTGAGGGGCAGGAGTAGTTCAGGGCGAGCCGGGGCCAAGGTCCTCGGGAGCCAGAGTCCAGGGTGTGGAAGGGTGGGGGTTCTGCAGTGCACAGTCCAGGACACCGCGGGGCGGGGCAGGGCGGGGATCCTCCGGTGCCTTAGTCCAGGGCTGAGCCGCGGTAGAGGTCCTTCAGTAGCATAGTCTAGCGCACGGCGTTGCAGGTGTCCTCCAGTGCCTGAGACCACGGCAGGTCGCGGGTCCCACTGTGCTCTAGTTCAGGATGGAGCAGGTCTGAGGTCTTCTGTTGCCTCAGTCTAGGGCGCTGGAGAGCGGGGATCCTCTGGTGCCAGAGTCAATGGATCCACCGGTCGGGGTCCTCCCATGTCTTAGCCCCGGGAGGGGAGAGGCGGGGGTCCTCCTTTGCCCTAGTCCAAGGCATTGTGAGGCCCCGCTCCTGCATTCTTAACTGTCTGTGCCTCTGCCGCCGCGGGGGAAAACTGCACCATCTCAGGCAAGCCTAACAGAGCAGCTGTCCTTAAAAGATTCCCAGTTGAGTGTGGTTCGGAGCAGGCCTCAGAAGTGTGCCCTTAGATGGCTTCAAGGGCTCTGGGCAATGTTTAAGGAATCCAGCTGACCTCAGTTACTCCGAGCCCTTTTCCACTCAGCAGAACTTCTGGCCACCGGGTCCTCTATCTGCGGAGCCCTTCTATCATCCCAGATCCCCACAGGGTGGACTCCGTCTCATCCTCACAATCTCAGCTCAGGCCTTATTCATCACAGCATTCCTGGCACCAGGCCTGGCCCATGAGAAATTGGTCAGATTAAGAGCTAAATGTGTTTCCATGGTCACTTGTTTTCTTCAGGCCTCCTTTCTTTGTGCCAGCATCTTTGGGTTTTGGTTAAAGTTTTCAGCAGCTGCATGAAGTTCCATTTTTCTTACCAGGTAAGAGACATAGCTTCATGAAAACAAAGGCAGAACGCTTGTGACCAGAGAACTCCCAGTCCTCTCCCTGCATAGGAAAACTGGACTTCTCCGGAGGGCTCCAGCTCCTGGGCAAATCTCTAGGGCCACTTAATTGGGCTGTCCCCCACCTTTGTTTCTGGTTTTGAAGGGGCGGAAGTTGGGAATCCTTTCTAAGTCTCTACACATGGAGCCCTTCTTTGGTGGGAAAGTCTTGACATATACCAGGATTGTCATTGACCTTTCAGAGCCTTCAAGAATCCTGAGCTGCTTTGGCTTCTGTTCCTGGAAGAGAGGCCACTGAACTGCTCTGGAGCTGGAGTTCAAGTTCAAATATTCATCACTGTTACTAAGCCTTTACATAGCATGTGATTTCTTTCCGGCAGGCTCATGGTCGCTTAGGTTTGCTTGTATGTAGATGGAGTGGTCTGCATCCTCATTCAGGTAACACCCCCAGCCTTTCATGCTGAGATTGGCCATTTTATTTGTAACTCACTGTACAATCCATTTGCTCTTCCAGTGTCCCTTAGAAGGATGCAGAGTGTACTGTAGAATGCCATAGAGACCTGGGTTTAGGGAAAATATTTGACCCAAAGTCCGCCAACTCACATGAGTATCTCCCCACAACTTGTACCGTGCTAGTCTCTGGGTATATAGCAAATGAAACCGTGCCTGAACAGATGTTACAAACACCCTCCCCTGAGAGACTCCAGGGCTGCTTTATTCATGCAAAACGGTGGGCTCTAATAAGCTCAGAGCTGAGAGGAACAAGTTTTCATTCCAGCGTTCTCAAAAACTCCCTTTGTGACTTTAGGCCTAATAATAATAACACTACCTAGGTAGTGAACACCTCTGTGCCAAGAAATATCATGATCATTGCCTGAGTTGTAATTCTCACAGTAGTCCTGCAGGACAGCTGCTATTACTGCTTATTATGCAGATGGGCAACCTGAGGCTCAGATGGAGTTAAGTGGCTTAATTGGTAGCAATAGAGCCAGGATTTGAACCCAGGGCTGCCTGATCACCAAATAAAATTGTACTCAACATGATGCACTTAACTTTTCTGGCCTCATTTCTCTCACCTGTAAAAATGCATATTTCAGATGTTTGTAATATTTTACCTGTGGTTGAAAGAGTTACCAGCCCTTCCTTGATCACCCATGGTAAGACCCATGAGCCTCTGAATATAATTATAGAAAACATTTGGAGAGGGATGGAGAGAGACAAGATCATGCCTCCTTTGATAATGTCAAATTTTCAGTGCACGAAGCCATACATAGTGCAGTTTTCTAGCTTCCCTTTCACACATGGCGTTGAAGAAAGTAAATTAAGCAACTCAGCTAACACTGGGAATGCAGCAGAAGTCATCGAGTTCAGTGCTGGGAGACAGTTGCCATGATATTCCAACATGGACACCAGGATCACAGTCGATGACTATGCCCTCCCTTGAAGATGGTGGCTTGCCTCTCTTTCTGTAAGCACATGTCATGTCATAACAATATTAAACAATTAAAAGTAATGTCCCCATCTTCTTCTACACTGCCTTTGAATTATTATTTTAGATCTGCCAAAATAAATTGCAAACTCATTAACAAGAAATGGGGGTGCCTGCATCCCTGCCTTCCTGAGTAGTCTATTCACCCAAAGACAAAAGGGTGACCAGCCTCCATCTGGGATATTCAAAGACACAGTCACCCTGCCATGCAGCCTGAGGCTGGCGAAGGTCCAATCCCCTTTTTAAGAAGCTTGTTGGATGAGCTTCATAAACATACAACCACAAAGGAAAGGCACAGCTGATGTGAGCGAGGCTGATAAGATGGGCATTTTGTCTGCTTCAAGGTTAGAATGCAACTTGTCTGTCAAAATGTGGTTATCTGACCTCCACAATGCTGCAGTCCAGCTAAATCCTGCAAATATTCATCCACCATTTACTATGGATAAAACAATAATGTGCTGTGGGGAATCCAATTACACACACACACACACACACACAAAAGTGCACACACACATGCATGCACACACACTGCTCCTGTTGTCTCAGAGGTTCCATGCTGGCAAGGCAGAAGTGCAAACATTAGCAGGTAAGTCCACTAGCAGGAGGAATGTGATAAGTAGATCCAACAGGGTACAACACAGTATGATAGAAGCAAACAAGGTAGAAATGAGTTCTGACTCCCTTTCACTTATGAAACTGATTATGGAATAGTGTATGAAAGGCTTGCCTGAATGAATCTCATATTTTCCAAGTGTTTTCTATCCCAGTGATTGGAACTTTTATTCATTTATACCATTGTCCAAAAGGAAAATACAGGAGATTTTCCTAAGACCATCCTCTGTCTTATCCCTCATATCATATCCCCAAACATCACCAAGCCCTGCCCACTTTTACCTACTCGGTTTCTCTCCAGTTGCTCTGTTTTCTCCATATGCACTAGTGATACCTTGGCTACATGAAGACCACCAGCAGCAGCCGGGACAACCAGCACCCTGTGGAACTGCATAGGGTGCATAGAATACGTCCTCCCTTCAGTCGGCTTGGGTCAGCTTAGGTCATGGGCCACCTGGACTGACAGCAGTTTCCACAGAAATGCCTCAAGATGATAGAATAATCCAAATCTCTTTGCATGGGGCATGGTGTGGCTATCTGAGAAAATCCTGGCTTTTATAGGAAGGAGAAAGAAGAATGCTTCTTGAGGGGAAGAAACCAACAGGAATGTGCCTCAGGGAAATGTCACCAGAGGAGAGTGAGCTGTAATGAGTATTTTGGCAGATTGCATGTTTCTTGTGGTTCTTGTGTTCCTTGGCCCTGCACAGAGCTACCATTTACTCATTTGACAAATATTTGAGTAGTAGACTCCAGGGTTCAATAGTGAGCAAAAATGCACAGAATTTCTTCTCTAGTGGAGCTGAGAGTCTAACAGAAAGAGGTGATGTTAGTCACAGAATTATGTAACAAGGGAAAGTTCAGCAGACCCAGGGGTGCTGCAAGAGCCTGGGAAGGTGGACTGACCCCAAGAGGGAGGCAGGAAAGGTTGCCCCCAGGAAGCAGCACTTGAGCTAAAATCAGGGAGAAAACTAGGCAAAGACACAGCATTCAGGAGGAGGTAGAAGCTGGCCCATGAGGATGGTGGTGTGGAGAGGTGAACCAATACCCAGGTCTTGGATTTATTGTTGAGCTGCTGAATTAACCAGTGCTGGCTCTCTCCCAACCTCTGCACTTCTTGTTTTGCAAGGTGTTTTTTTTTTTTTTTTTATTTAAAAGCTAGTATGAGTTGGGATCTGTTGCTTTTCTGAGACCCCATCCTGTGAGGTAGACAGGGGACCTCACTGTACTCTGGGGGAGCTAAAGATGGAGAAGAGTTTTAGAGTGCCTGGAGAAGAGGCCCTTTAATAGATCATTTAAGAAGAGGGTGCTACCACTAGACTGCCCAGATTCACTTTCTGGCTTTGTGACCTTGGGCTCTCTGTGTCTGTTTTCCAACCTGAACAATGGAATAATGATAGTATCTGCCTCTGCCTGCAAGACCCTGTCCTATCAGACCAACTACCTTTTCACTAGAACTCTCTTCCTGCACTGTACCCCAACTGGACCCTCATTAACACTTAAAATGAGCATGTTTCCCTTTTCTAGATTTTGCTCAAGACATTTCCCTCATCAGAGTTAACTTTGGTCCATCTCCCTCTATTGGAATTCAACCCATTCTCCAGAAATCAGTTCAAATTTTATCACCAGAATGCCTCTCTCAATTACACCAAGCCTCTTTTATACTTTGTGCCATTTCTGCCATGATTTCTTATGTTTTCCTTTTTCACTACATATTGGTACAGGTACATATGATCTCCACTTCCACTCAAATGTGAGGTTACTGCGGGCAGTCCCTATGGGTATAGTCATATCCCAAGAGTCCTGGGCAGAGGGTCCCCCTCTTGCACCCAGGTTGGAGTGCAGTGGTGCAACCAGAGCTTACTGCAGCCTTGACCTCCTGGGTTCAAATGATCCTCTCACCTTAGCCTTTCCAGTAGCTGGTATGAAAAGGCGAGCACCACCATGCTTGGCTAATTTTCATATTTTTCATAGAGATAGGGTTCCACCATGTTGCCTTGCTTGGTCTCAAAGTTCTGAGCTCAAGCAATCCACCTGCCTCAGCCTCTCAACATCCTGGAATGACAGCATGAGCTACCACACCTGGCCAAATGCCGAATACTTTAGTCATATATGCCTGACACTTCAGGGCATGCAGAACTGCCTCGCTTACTTTTCTTTTGACTCAGTTTATAAATTTTCTTAATTTAAATTTTAATTTCAACATGTGTACATCTTTGAAATAAATAAAATAATCTCTTTGAATGTTTGGCATAATGTAGAAGAAATTGACAAATGGATATCTTTACTTCATTTTCCATCTCAAAATGTGGTAGAAATATGCTCCCCTAACGTGATCCCAATTATTACATAGCCATCTTGCTGTGGTTAATGTAGAATCTTTTTGCAATATCACATGCATGACAGGGCACATCCAAGAAACATTTAAGTGAAGATAATACTAGATTCTTGAAAGTATCTAGACACTTAAGAGCAGGCAGTGATGATGTTAATTAACAGTAACAATGTCGAGGGACTGGCTTTTGCCCTTCCCTAATAAACATCAAGAGCATAGAAACTCAGCAAATTTGCTCTATTGTCTTCATTATTTGGTTGTTGAATCAGTAAATGCTTTCCACAGGGGTCATCTTGTTAGTCATCTTGTCATTTTGCTGTGTCCCTTCTTCATCCTTGCACTTTTTCCTTTCTCCCACTTTGGAATGTATTGAGAGGAGTGTTATGTTGATGGAATGCCGTGTCCTGACTTGTCATTTGATTAGAACTTCCCTCAATTTTTAACATGCTTCTTGATATGGTTTGGATTTGTGCACCCCCCCATCCCCAATCTGATGTGGAATTGTAATTGCCAGTGTTGGAGGAGAGGCTTAGTAGAAGGTGTTTGCATCATGGAGGTGGTTTCTAATGGTTTAGCCTCATCCCCCTAGTGCTGTCTGATGATAAAGTTATCCTAAGATCTGCTTGTTTAAAAAGTTAAAAAGCACCTCCCCTGACTCGTTTCAGCCATGTGAATATGTGCTTGCTTCCTTTTCACCTTCTGCCATGATTGTAAGTTTCCTGAGGCTTCCCTATAAGCATAAGTCTGTACAGCCCACAGAACTGTGAGCCAATTCAATCTCTTTTCTTTTTCAATTACCCATTCTCAGGTATGTCTTTATAGCATGTGAGACAGACTAATACACTCATCCTCAGAAAGCATTCAATTTAGCTGTGTCTAAAGGTATGCCAGCTGTCCTGGGACATTATCTTAGCCAATCATTCTTCCTCTTCAGCAAGATCTATTTGCCTATCACAGCTTGACCACACTTCCTACCATACCTGTCTGTAACAAGTAGCCTATAACATCTGGAGGGATTTCATTGAAATCACAGAGGTTCCTTGGTTCTTTACTTTATTAGCAGGCATTAGGAAAGCACATCAACTTTCTTATTTAATAAAGTGCCTGTTGCTTTGAAAAATTGCCCAAAAGAAGAAAAGAGAGGGTTACTTAAAGGTATCACTATAGGCATGGCATGCTGGTTCACACCTGTAATCCCAGTACTTTGGGAGGCTGAGGAGAGAGGATCACTTGAGTCCAGAAGTTCAATACCAGCCTAGGTGACATGGCAAAACCCCATCTCTACAAAACGAAACAAAACAAATAAAACAAAACAAAATAGAAAAAATATTCAGGCATGGTGGCATGTGCTTGTATTCCCAGTTACTCAGGAGACTGAGGTGGGAGAATCACTGTGCCCAGGGAGGTTGAGGCTGCAGTGAGCCATGATCATGCTACTCCACTCCAATCTGAGTGACAGAGCAAGCCCCTGTCTCAAAAAAAAAAAAAAAAAAAAAAAAAAAAAAAAAAAAAAGCTATCACTATACTATCTGTAACTGTTCTTAATTAGGATAACTAGGTTTTTTCCAACAGTGGAAACTCCAAACAGACTAAATTGTTGTACATCAAGGTGAATTGTCATAGTTAATTCCTTTGCTTGCAACTGCCCAATAAATGGATGAGGACTCACTTCACCAATAAATAAGAAAGGTGAACAGCACATGGGGCCTGTAGATGCCTTTTGCAGGGCCCTCTTTTAATCTTCCTAAATTTGCAATTTGCATATTTCTGTAGATGGGCACATCATAGAAGCTGTCATCCTAGATCAGAGCCTGGAGAGAGAGATACAAGTGTCATGCTTAAATCTGCAGAGTAGGAACAAGCCCAGAGAAATCAAGATGATTAAGCAGAGAGTTTCCATACTGGAGATAAACCAGCTGTGTAAAAAGTCATGCTTATTGAACAAAAATGCATTGCACCGCCGAAATAACTGCTTTAACTAAGAAGTAAAGAACTGACACCCCAACAGAGCACAGAGAGCCACATAGACAGGAGCTGCATTTCAAACAAGGTCATTGCTGTTTTCCCCACTCTGAGTTAAGTGTCTCTGCTTCACCCTTCCTTACCAAAGTTCTGCTTGATCATCCTTTTGTTTTGTTTTGTTTTGTTTTTTGTACTTCCCTTCTTTGAGAAAATATAAACCAAAATTTTACATAAAACAGGAATTCAGCTTTTGACAATGTTAGCCATTGAAACAACAACAAAAAAGGTTTCTATTATTTCTCATCTCTGTGCTATCCAGTGCAGTAGCCAATAGCCACAGGTGACTATTAAAATTAAAATTAATTCAAATAAAACAAAATTTAACATTAGCTGGTCACTTGTACTAGCCACATCTCAATTACTCAATAGCCACATGTGGCTAGTGGCTACTGAACTAGGCAGCATGAATGTAGAACATTTTCATCATCATAGTTTTCTAGGTCATGGAAAAATTACAGAACTCAATTTCCAGTGTGCACATTTATTTGCATACCTAGGAGCTTTCTGACCCTGTGTTGAGCTGCCTAACCAGCTTCCTGATTGACCTCCTGATATTTCTGCAAATGTGGACGAAGAGGCCAGGATTCCTCAGGGCCCAGGTGACTCAGGTTATTCAGAAACTATGTTTGGACTAGCAGGCCTCTACTTGATTTGGGATGCGAAATGGGACTTCTCTTCCTAATTGCTAAAATAGATTTCAAGGTTCACCTCTCATCGCGGTAAGAGTCTCATTTCCTGAGACTCTTATTTCTTTCCATGACTTATGGTATATTCTGGAGAGAGTGGATTCACACAGAAGAGCTGGCTCTGTGCTGGTTTTCCAGGGGTCAGCCCCCTTGTCAGTGACAAGCCTGCCTATCTACATGATGTACATTATGTCCCACTACTGGTAATAGAAGCTCAGCAATTGATTGACTGTTAGGTTATTTTCAAAGCTCAGTATTCACAATAATCTAACAGACACCCACACAACCACAAGGACAGACAAGGCTCTCATAACCTGCAAAAGACAAGGTGCACATTTCTTCTTTCCATCCCAGCAACAAATTGCCAAACCAGCCAGCACTTAAGTTGGGGTAAAAATTAATTAAAAGAAGAACCTACCAATGTAGATAAAAGAACAGAAAAGCTATTGCAGCTGTCTTCTCCATAACAGAGGCCTGTGATTTGAATTTTAATGTTTCAATCTACTTTCTGCTCTTGTGTTTATTTTATTATTTATTTTTTGTCACTATCTCTTATTTGTAGATACAAATTTTTCATATTTAAAAGCTATTTTAAATATAATCTTTAAAAGGAGAAACATTATTTTTTTTAATTGCACAAAATACTGAAGGTGAGATCCACTGATTGGAATGCAAAATGGGACAATATCTCTGGAAGCAATTTTATCCAGATAAATCAATAGCTTTAAAACAATTCAAAACCTTGGACCTAATACCTCTACTTCTAGGAAGCTAGCCTATGAAGGTTTCTGCTGAAGGATGTTTATCACAGTATTATTAATAATGCGAAAAAGCCAAAGAAGAGACCTGAAATGTTTCAAAGATGAAAATGGTTTGATAAACATTTTTTTTAGATGGGGTCTCACTCTGTTGCTCAGACTGGGGTGCAGTGCCACGATCTGAGCTCACTGCAAAATCCTTCTCCCAGGTTCAAGCAATGCTCCTGTTTCAGCCTCCCAAGTAGCTGGGAATACAGGCACACCAACCACGCCTCACTATTTTTTTGTATTTTAGTAGAGATGGGGTTTCACCGTGTTGCCTAGGCTGGACTCAAACTCCTGAGCTCAGGCAATCCATCTGTCTCGAACTCCCAAAATGCTGGGATTACAGGCATGAGCCACCACACCTGGCAATAAGCAACATATTTAAACACTAGAATATTATGCAAACATCCCAGGCATGCTTTGGAAAAACTATTAATCCCACAAAAGATGCTTATGTTATTATACAGACTAACAGACCAAGATTCTCCAGGACACTTACTATGTTACATGTCTGAAGTACAATATAATGCCATATATAAAATGTAACCTCAACTCAGGCCCCAGTCTTTTCATCTGGAAAATTCTATTAATTATACTGCCCTTCCCCTTTTTAGGTTTTCTGTAGGAGTTAAATACAATACACTTTGTCAATTGCTTAACACCATGCTCAACACTGGTCGGGAAGATATAAATGTCAGCTATTGTACTATGTGCCAAAAAAACAAACAAAAAACCACACAGACAGACACACACACACAAAGACACACACGGAGGGAGAGGAAGTAAAGATTAAGAAGCAGCACATAATGTTACGGTAGGCAATGGGACCACTAGTGATTTTCATATCCTTTTTTATTTTCTTCTTTATACTGCTTACATTTTTCAGTGTATACAATGAGCATGTATTACTTCTGTAACCAGAAGAATGTGGTATAAACCTCACCTTAATATAATAAAACAAAATTACTGGCCAGGAACGGTGTCTCGTGCCTGTAATCCTAGCACTTTGGAAGGCTGAGACTAGTAAATCTCTTGAGCTCAAGAATTTGAAACCAGCCTGAGCAATACAGTGAGACCTTGTCTCTGCAAAAAATACAAAAATTAGCCAACCATAGTGGTATACAACTGTAGTCCTAAGTTACTTAGGAGGCTAAGGTGGGAGGGTGGCTTGAGACCAGGAGGTGGCTACAGTGAGCTGTGATTGCACCACTGCACTCCAGCCTGAGTGAAAAAGCCAGACCCAGTCTTGTACAAAAATAAAAAAAATAAAAAAAATAAAAAGTTATTACTTAGATCCCACATGCTGTCTTGGAGCCATTGTAGTGTTGCGGGATTCAAGAGACTGGAGAGACCAATGGATGAGACAGGAGGATTTTATTAAAGTGGCCACTGGCCTAGTAGATTCGCATCCAAAAGGCTGAGCCTGGAACAAAGATGGGGCCTGGTTTTTAAGCATGCAGCTGCGTGAAACTCACAGGGTGGGCTTAGCAAGCTTACAGAAGCAGAACAAAGGCAGTTAATCAAACAGTGACAGGTGTATGACTCAAACATGCCTGGTGACCTCTGCTGGGCCGTCCAGCAGGCCCTCAGCAGATGGTTACTATTTTAGGCTTGCTCAGACATGTCTTGTGACCTTCTCAGTGTTGCACAGATGGAAAACAGGAACTTACAAAATCCTTACAAACTTACAGAAATAGTTACAAAAATAGTTATGAGAGCAGAGCAAAGACATACTGGCCTAGGAAAGAATCTCAAAGGGGGAAGCTGATAAGAAGAACTTGTTCTTCTCATCCCTGTTCCTGGAGTCCATTCCTTCTGGGCTCTGCTTGGCCTTGTATATAAAGTTAGCTTAATCCTAGCAGGGCCTTGATGTGAGTCAGCCTGGTACAGGCAGGAATTTAGGTTTTTCTCCTTTTAATTTCGGCTTTAGTAGGCTAGGGTTCTGGTTGCCACTGCTGAGAAAGTAAAGTGTGTTCAGGCTGTCCATGGTTCTGGGCTCCCCCGGGTCTCTGAGGAGGGCTGTCCCCTCTATCACAGAGAATATCAGGACACTAGCCTGTTCCTAGTTATACTTACACACTCCTCTCATGTTGTCTATGGAGTGGAGGCTGCAGGGAGGGTGACATCCTAGTTAGTCCCAAGTGCCAGACTGCCTGAAGCTCACTGTTAACAAGTCCTGCCTTGGAGAAGAAGGAAGGTTGTCTCTGTGAATCTCCCACCTGGGCCAAAGGGAGGCCACTCTCTCCTCTGCCTCTCCCCAACCTTGGTCTTCTGCACTCCTAGTGAACCTCTCTCCCCCTGCCTACAGGCCTGGAATCTCAAGACCATGATGACCTAGTCACCCCTGAATCCAGGGCTTTCCCTTTACAAAGGGGAAACTGAGACCTGGAGCAGGGCCGATGTTCAGCCAGCCGATAAGGGAATAGCCGAATTGGTGGTAAAATACTGAAATAGTTCCAGTGTGGATGGAAAGGGGCCACTGCCCTGAACATCTCTACCCCGCCGCCTCAGCCCATACTCCAGGACCCTGGGTCAGCACCAGGAGCATCAAAGTGGCCAGGATTGGCTGAAGCCCATGCTAATGGCTCTGCCAGCCCTTCTCCCCACCAGAGAAGGCAGGGAAATCAGGCTATCTGGGGGTAGCACTGTGACCGTGTATGCAGTAGTCAAACCTTGTGTGCCACCATCCCTGACTTTGTTGATAAGGGCATCAGGCTACATCCCTCTGGTACTCAGTGGTAAGCATCTAAAATCTTAAAGAAAAAATTTAAAAAGCTTTCAAAATATAGGACTTAACATATGAGGCTGCACAAACATCTCTTTAGCAGTTGTCCAACTGGTGCTTCTGGTTCTGCCTCCCCAGAGAGTGGATGACCTGGGCCACCCTCCACCACTGCCCTGTAAGGCCATGGGACACACAGCCCATCAGTTCTCTTCACGTGGTCATCCCCCTTTAGATGGGAGAAAATATACCTGCCTCATTTTTGTACCTTCTGTTTGGACATTCCATGACAGAGCTTCACTAAATGTGTGATGAAGAACTGAATGAATGAATGAATGAATATGAGAGCAAATGAATGAATGGTTTAGATCCTGGGCTGGAAGTCTGTATGAGGATGGTGGGTAGAGGAGAGTGTGTTTTTCTTGCCTTTAAGTCATTACTTGTCATTTTGGGGCAGGAGCACAGGCTTTGAATGCAGACTGACTGGACTTTAATCCTGGCTTTACTAGTTGTGATTGTGTGACCTTGTACATGTTACTTAAACCCTCTGTGCCTGTTTCTTTATCTGTAAAATGGAGATAATAAGATGACAAAGGACTGTGGTAAGAATTAAATGCTTAAAAAAATCACAGTTTGTATTAAGTCCTCAATAGATTGGGTTTAGCATCATGAGTGCATGTGTTTCTGGAACAATGCTCATCTTGGGCTGGATGGTGCCTACACAGAGAAAGACTCTGGCCTCTTCTCACTCACATGTATCTGTCTTATGCCTGGTTCCCATTCCCAGATCCTTGGAAGATCCATATTGCTGAAACGGTGAAGGGTGATGGGCACCTCAGGACAACTAAGTTGCTCCCCAAACATCTTCCCCCGCCCAAACTCTCCTGTGGTCTTTAGCATTTAACAGGAATCTCTGGACACTCCAAGGGGTGATCCTCTCACGGAAGCCCAGTGGGGAGGAGGCTGCGGGAAAGGTCAGGCACTGTGCACTTCCCTGACAGCTGCAAATGGTTCTGTTTCCAAGCCCACGGGTCACTACAAATAAGGCAAGTTATATGACATAATAATGTGATTCTTTGGTGCCTCGGTCCACACTGGCACTTTAATACTCCTAGAGTGGATTGCATGGTGGTCTATCAAAAGATATGTCTACCTGGAACATGTGAATGTACCTTTATTTGGAAAACAATCTGCAGATGTAATTAAATCCAGCACCTCGAGATGAGGGCATCTCATCTTGGATTAGGATGGGCCCTAAATCCAATGACAAGTATCCTTATAAGAAAAGCGGCAGGTAGGGCACAGTGGCTCACACATATAATCCCACCACCACCACTGAGGAAGGTCAAGTTGGGAGGATCGCTTGAACTCCAGGCGTTCAAGACCTGCTGGGCAACATGGTGAGACACTGTCTCTCCAAAATGTATATAAAATATAATAGCCAGACATGATGGCACCCGCCTGCAGTCCCAGCTACCAGCTACTCAGGAGGCTGAGGTGAGACGATAGCTTGAAACTGGGAGGTTGAGGCTTCAGTGAGCTGTGATCATGACACTGCCCTCCAGTCTGGGTGGCCCCTGGCCCCTCCACAACCTGCGCTAGAAGAGCTGGGCCCTGGCTCTGGGCATCATGCAGCCTCTGAGGTGGGGCTGAGTGCCAGTTCCTGCCCTCCTGCAGCTGGGGACCAACACCCTGACTTAGGCGCTGTGGAGGCTTCTGGCCCAAGGGTCCGCACTGCTGGTGGCACTGGCAGGGTCGGAGTTTGCCACAGCTGCTGCTGCGCGCCTTGTGCAGGTTACCACTGCAGCTGAACCTACATCAGAGGCAGGCAGGGCTGGTCCCAGACAGCCTGGGGGTCTCTGAGTGCAGGGCCCTTTCACCCTAGAGTCAGCTCTTTCTTGCTGGAGCCCACAGCGGGGTGTGCAAGCGCTGGGTACAGGGCAGCAGCCAGGAAATGGCTGAGCGGCCGGCTCCCGCCCTCCTGCAGCTGGGGTCTGACCAGCTGAATTAGCCGGTGGGCGGCGTCTGGCCCTGGGATCCGCCTGGCTGGTGTAGGAGCCTGGTCTGGGGTTGCCTCCAAGGCTGCTGCGCGCGCCATGTGCAGCTGGCTGCTGCAGCTGGGCCCATCACCTGACAAGGAGTTTCCCAGACAGCCTCAGGGTCATGGAGTGGACCACTGTCCCAGCCTAGTGTACGCTCTTCTTTTGCCTGCGCCCAGAGTTCCGGGTCGCGGGCACCGGGAACTGTGCAGCCAAGGTGCTTCGGCCGAGGGCAAAGGTTGCTGCCCTGCTGCAGCTGCTGGGCTGAGTGCCTGAATTAGGCGCTGAGGCAGCGTTGTCCCCGGTGTCCTGGCTCTTAGTGGTGCAGGCAAAGTGCCCGGTTGCTCTGCTGCTGCGGCGCCCTTGTACAGGTGGCAGCTGTAGCTGAGTTCTCAGTAGACGCCGGCAGGGTTGGTCCTAGAAAGCGTGAGGATCGCCGAGTGCACCGCCCTCCCAGCCTAGGGTCCACTCTTCCTTGGCCCGAGCCCAGAGCCCGGGGTTTCAGGCGCTGGGCCCTGTGCAGCTGCCCAGAATATGCTGAGCGGCAGGTTCCCGCCCTGGCAAGGGATCCAGCCGTGGTATCCTCACTGCTGTTGGCGGCGGGCAAGGTCAGCGGGGTTTCCACCGCTGCTGCCGGGAGCCACCTGGCGGTGGTAGCTGCAGCTGAGCGCGTGGCAGAGACCGGCAGGGCTGGTCCCAGACACCCTGAGGGTCTCTGGGTGCATCGCCCTACCACCCTAGGGTCTGCTCTTCCTTAGCCTGCTCCCAGGACGCGGTGTACGAGCGCTAGACTCTGAGCAGCCTCCAGGATGGGGCTGAGCGGCGGAGTCCTGCCCTGCTGCAGCTACAGTCTGAATTAGGCGCCACCGCAGTATCTGACCCTGGGGTACGTGCTACTGGTGGCATGGACAGAGATGAGGGCTGCCACAGCTGCTATGGGGCTGAGCAGCCGATTTCCGCCCCGCTGCAGCGGGCGACCGCTGCAATCCCCAGCGCTATGGGACCGACCACCTGACTTAGATGCCTTGGAGGCATCCGGCCCTAGGGTCTTTGCTGCTGGTGTCTGAGGGCAGGGTCAGGGCTGCCACTACTACTGCCGTGCGCCATGCGCAGGTGCCAGCTGCAGCTGAGTCCCAGGCAGATGCTGTCAGGGCTGGTCTGAGGTTGCCTAAGGGTGGCTGAGTGCACCGCCCTTCCACCCCAGGGTCCGTTATTCCTAGGCCGGCGCCCAAATTGCAGGGTCGTGGGCGTTGGACACTGTGCAGCCATGAGGATCTGGTTGGGTGCAGATTCCCGCCCTCCTGCAGCTGAGAGGCCAACCTCCTAACAGGCGCCGCAGTGACCTCTGGCTCGGCGGTCCGCGCTGCTGCTGGAGCTGGCAGAGACCAGAGCTGCCACCGCTGCTGCTTCCAGGAGTGTGCAGCTGGCAGCTGCAGCTGAACCCGCAGCGGAGGCTGGAAGGGCTTATTCCAGAAGCCTTGAGGGTCCCCGAATGCACCGCCCTCCCACCCTAAGGTCCAGTCTTCCTTGCCCGCTCCCAGAGAGTGGGATTGCAGGCGCTGAGCACAGTGCAGGCGCTGGGATGGGCTAAGCTGCAAGTTTCCGCCCTCTGGCTGCTGGGGGGCCGACCGCCTGAGTTATGCGCCGCGGCGGCTTTTGGTCATGGGGTCCGCACTGCCGGTGGCTTGCACAGGGTCGGGGGCTGCCACAGCTGCTATAGTTCACCATGTGCACGTGGCAGTCGCCCCTGAGCCCACCGCTGAGGCTGCAGGGCTGGTCCGGTCTCAGACGGCCTGAGGGTCATTTGCCCGCGCCCAGATCCGGGTGGCTGGCGCTGGGCACTGTGCAGCCTCCAGGAATCCGCTGAAGGGCAGGTTCCCGCTCTCCTACAGCTGTGGGCCGACTGCCTGATTTTGGCCACTAGGTGGAGTCTGTCTCTAGGGTTTCGAGGCCGCTGGTGTCGGCGGGCGGAGTCCGGGTTTGCCACCGCTGCGCGCCATGAGCAGGTAGCAGTTGCAGCGTAGCTTTAGACAGAGGCTGGCAGGGCTGGCCCCAGACGGCCTGAGGGTCAGGGAGTGCAGGGTCCTCCCACCCTAGGTCCGCTCTTCCTTTGCCCTTACCAAGAGCGGGTTGTGCGGGCGCTGGGCTCTGTGCAGCCGCCGAGGTGGGGCTGAGCAGCGGATTTCCGCCCTGCTGCAGCTGGAGGACGATTACCTGAATTAGCCGCTGAGGCGGCATCTGGCCCTGGGTTACTGCTGCTGGTGACGCGGGCAGGGTCAGGGTTGGTTGCAGTTGGCAGCTGCTGCTAAACCCATTGCGAGCCTCAGGGTCACCAAGTTCACCGTCCTTTCATCGTAGTGTCTGATCTTTGGCCCGCGCCCAGAGTGAGGACTCGCCTGCGCTGGGGATTGCATAGCTTCTGGGGGGCGGTCAGCGCCCGTTTCACGTCCTCCTGCAGCTGCGTGGCCTAAGGTCTTAGGCGCCGCGGCGCTATCTGGCCCTGCTGTCCGTGCTGCTGGTGGCGGGGACAGGGTCGAGGGTTGCCGCTGCTGCTCCCGTGCACCATCGGCAGGTGGCAGTTGCAGCTGAGCCCACAACTGAGGCTGTTGGGGCTGCTCCCAGGTTGTCAGAGGGTCGCCGAGTTCACCGACATGCCACCCTAGGTTACGCTCTTTCTTGGCCCGCAACCAGAGCGCCGGGTTACGAGTCCTGGGCCCTGTGCAGCCACGGGGATGGTGCTGAGTGCAGGTTCCCGTCTTCCTGAGATGCGGGGCGACCACTGGAATTAGCCTCTGTGGTGGTATCTGACCCTAGGGTCCGAGCTGCTGATGGCGTGGGCGGGGTCGAAGTCGCCTCTGTTGCTGTGGCGTGCCATTTGCACTGTCCTCTGGAACAGGCTGGTCTGTGCTGTGTATGGTCAGTGGAGTCTTCTCTGGGCATTCTTCACTGATATCTGCTGACATGGCTCATCTTCTCTTTGATTTTGCATGTATTGGCACTCAGTGATGAAGTTTCTGGTCACCCACTGCCATTTTCCTCTAGCCTCCAAGACCTCACATTCTGAGGCCAGCATGTCCCACCAGGGGCCTCCACTGGTCCTGTCAAACCAGGTGTGAGTCCCCCTTCCACCAAGCTTGGAGAGACTGGCTTTTCAGACAGCACTCACAGGCTGAGAGTAAGGGAACTGATCTCTCAGGCACTTCCCCCTGTCCTGCCACTCTGTCATTCCTGGGACACCCTATGTGCACTAGAGAAGTAAGACACCAGCCTGCATATTTTCTCATCTTTCTTTAACTGTCTATTTTTTCCTATCCATCTGTTTGAGCGAGTCCCAGGAGGATGTTGGGGCTGAATACCTGATCAGAGACACAGGCAGAGCCATAGTCACATCTCCTGGGAACTTTCTTCTTCCTGTGTAGTTAAAAGCTCTTCTCTTCCTCTTCTTCATAGAAATTCCCCTTACACTAAACCTTTGACTAAAGCCATCCCCTCAGTTTGATAAAATTTTTAGACAGGATTATTTCTGATTCTTGGCTCCTCACCTCTTTTTTTCTTTAGCATATTTTAGAAATGTTATCATTGTAAATTCTTTCTCTGCCTCTTTGATAAATCTTTCTAAGAGCCCACGTGCCAGTTTTACACTTCAGAAATGTCCATTTCAAGGACCTCAGAGCCATCCCTTTGAAATGTAATTCTCAAAAAAGATAACACCATTATCTCCCAGACTCCATGAGAGAGTAAGAGCCAAATTTTGGTGGGCATATTCCTCTAATTTGTAAAATCACCTTCTGTCATAAAGATGAAAGATAGTTTAATATTCCTTTGGAAAAAGACAACTATCAAAGACAAGTGGTCTATGATCTCCCCCTCATCCTGGCTCTTAAAATCTCTACTGCTGTTTGTTTCAGCGGAGCTGAGTTCAGACTAAGTTCTGGCCTCTTTGCCCTTTTGCAATAGTCTTCAATAACAGCTTTTTTATGTGTTTAACTTTGTCTGGTGCAACTGTTTTCTTTGACACTTTCCACCCTAACTAGAACTTCCATTAAAGTCATAATAGGATTCAAGGCAGCCAAACTTGACTCACATACGTAAAAAAACTTGTTAGGATTTAGAAACCCATATTCTCGTCAATAAATTGTTTCTTCAGACTGTTGCCTTATTAAAAGTTTCTAGTTCTTATTTTGGCATTGAAAAGGAGAATACCAATTTTTAAATAAGTCTCTGCTCACTTTTAATTTCTGCTATCACAATTTTATTGCTTTCCACGGCTGAACAATGAGAAGACCAGAACACAATTTTAAGTTAAATTTTATTTAATTTTTACCATTACAATTTTATTGCTTTCTCTGACTGAAAAGAGAAAACTCAAACAAAGTAGTCTAGTCTACGAAGTGGACTAGAACAAAGAATCATGTCTCATTAATACATTTCAGAAAGTTACCTCCATTTAACATCAATGGTGTCATTTAATATTCTTAACTTTCCTATCAAGTAGATGCTATTATTACCTCTATTTTATAGGATATTAAGTCTTATATATTATACATAACCAGCTGAAGGTCATGTAGCATGTAGATATGATAGGCATACAAAGAAGCAATGACATTAGAAGCAGAGGAGGGAGAAGGATTAAAAGGCTATACCTAGGTCGGTTAAGAGAAAAAGAAAAACTAGGAGGAGACAAATTCTTGTTAGAAAAAAATAATGATCGAGGCAGAGCAAGACAGTGGTGCAGACCTCTCCAGCTATCATACCCCTATAGAAACATCAATATGAACAACTGTCCACATGTGAAATTACCATTACAAGAGCCAACAGAACCTCAATACATGAACAAGGTTATGAAGCACCTTTGGCCTGTGAAGATGGGTAAAACCATGGCTTACAGAGTGAGAGAACCAATACTCTGTGACTGTGATACTCCTCCCTCAGGCCATTATGGTACCATCTGCAGAAACTCCCATAGGGCTTATAGTTTTTACACTGAAAAAAGTCAGCAGGAGGTTGATATTTGTTTTTTCCACTATACTGAGTGCCTTCACAGTAGACTCACTCCTGTATCAGCCCACAAGTGGCACCATGAGTGCCAAAAGGGATGAACCACCTGAGGCATGTTAAGGACATAAGAGGAGGTGGGGCCAGCAACAGCCACCATGTGAAACATAATACACAGACTACACGCTTGACGGCCTGACTTGTTCTCCCCCATAGCCAGGGGCTCCCTGTGGATCACCCATGGGCCCATCCAGCAAATGTTGCAGCAGTGGTGGAGCCATTGGAAGACTTATGTCTAACGTGGGATTTGGACTCTCTCTAATGCTAAAATGGAATACGATGGTAAGTCCGCTCAACATTTCCTAATAAGCCCACTTAAAAGTAGTCACAAACAAACCCAGACTGAGAAGACACAAATAAATATCTAATTCATCAATGTGTAGACAGAGATGTATATCTACATATAATAATGATAGCTTAGGAAAAGTTGCCTCTCCAAATGGACAAAACAAGGTGTCAGCAACTGAACTTAAAGACATACAGATGAATGATCTGGCAGGCAAAGAATTCAAAATGGCTGTTTTAAGAAGAGCCTGAACACTGAGAAAGCAGAGACATAATTCAGAAATTTACCAGAGAAATTCAACAAAGAAATCAAAATAATGGGAAAAATCACATGTAAATCCTGAAGCAGGAAAGTTCAATTAACACATTGAAAATCCAACGGAAGGCATCAACAGAAGAACTGATCAAGCAGAAGAAAGAAACAGTGAGCTCAAAGACAGGCTCTTTGAAAATACATGGTCAGAGTAGAATGAAAAAAAGAATGAAAAGAAACAAAGAAAGTTTATGAGATTTGTGGGACACCAACAAAAGAGCAAATCTACATATCATTGGTGTTAAAGGGGAACTAAGAATGAAAAGGAGATAGTTTATTCAAAGAAATAACAGAAAACTTTTTAAACCTGGAGAAAGATTAAAATGTTTAGGATGGTCAAAGTGCCCAATCATATTTAATCTGAATAAGACAACCAAAGACATTTTATAATTAAACTCTCAAATGTCAAACACAAAGAGAAGACCCTGAAAGGACTAAGAAAAGGGAAACAACACATAAGAGAATTCCAATATGCCTGGCAGCAGACTTCTCAGCAGAAGCACTACAGGCCAGGAGAGAGTAGGATAATAGATTCAAGTGCTGAATTAAAAAAACTGTCAACCATGAATAAAGTATCCAGCATAGCTATCATTTAGAAATAAAGGAGAGATTGAAACATTCTCAGACAAACAAAAAGCAAAGGAATTCATTGTAATCAAACCAGCCTTACAAGAAACGCTAAATATTGTTCTCCAAACTGAAAGAAAATGGCAGCAATATGTAACACAAAAAATCTGAAGGTATAAACCCACAGGTAGAAGTGAGGATTCAGACAAATTTGGAATGCTCTAATATGGTAATAATTGGATGTAAAGCACTTATATATCCTTAGTAGGAAGGTTAAAAAACAATACAAATAAAATAATAATAATTACAATAATTTGTTAAGGAATAGCAATATACAAAGATGTAAATTAAGACATCAAAAATGCAAAATGTGAGGGAGTGATGGAGTTAAAGAGTAGAGTGGTTTCTTTTCCCCTCTTTTTGAATCAAAATTAAGTTGCTATCTCTTTAAAATAACTTATTGTAACCACAAAATGTTCTTTGCATGCCTTGTGGTAACCACAAAGCAAAAACTTTTAAAAGATACTCTAAAAATTAAAAAAAAAAAAACCGAAACACACTGATAGAGTAAAGCACTTAATCACAAAGGAAGATAGAGAAATCAATCAATCAAAGTACAAATTAAAAAAAACATGAAAACAAGTAATAATATGGCAGAACCAAGTCCTTGCCTATCAATAATTATCTTGTATGTAAATGGATTATCCCATTTAAGACATATAATGGCTACACTGATTAAAAACAAGACCTAACTATAAACTTTCTACAGGAAATTCACTTCATCTGTAAATACACACATAAATTGAAAGTGATCAGATGGAAAAATATATTTTATAAATATGGAAACCGAAAGAAAGCCAGTATAGATATATTTATATCAGATAACATATACTTCAAACAAAATCCTATAAAAACAGACAAATACAGCCATTATATAATGATAAAGGGATCAATATCACAAGATAATATAATTGTAAATATATATGCCCTCTATATTGAAGGACCTAAATATATAAAACAAATGTTAATAGATCTAACAGGAGAAACAGCAAGCAATAAAATAATAGTAACATTCTACTTTCAGCAATAAACAGATTATCAAGACATAAAATCAACAAAGAAACATCATATTTAAAGTGAACTCTAGACCAAATAACTTAGCAGTCATTTACAGAACATGTTATCCAACAATTGCATAATTCACAGTCTTCTCTACTGCGCATGGAACATTTTCCATGATAGATCATATACTAGGCACAAAATGAGCCTTAGCAAATTCAAAAAAAAATCAAAATTATATCACATCTTTTCTGACAATATAGAATAAAACTAGAAATAAACAACAAGAACTTCAGAAATTGTGCAAATACATACAAATTAAACAACGTGCCCCTAAACAAACAATGGGTTAAAAAATAAATTTTGTTTCATTTTAAAAATTCTTAAGACAAATGAAAATGAAATCAGAACATATAAAAACTTACGAAATACAGCAGAAAAAGTCCTCAGAGGGAAGTTTGTAGAAATAAATTTCTATATGAAAGAAAGAAAACTCTCATTAATAATTTAAGAATGCATTTCAAGGAATTATAGAAACGTGAACAAACTTAGCCCCAAATTGGTAAAAGAATATAGATAATGAAGACCAGAGCACAAATAAACAAAATGGAGACAAAAATATGAAAGATCAATGAAATAAAAAGTTATTTTTTGAAAAGATAAACGCAATTGATATATCTTTAGTCAGATTAAGAAAAAAGAGAGAAGATTCACATAAATAAAATGAGAGATGAAAAAAGACATTAAAATGGTTACTACAGAAATACAAAGAATCATGAGAAAGTACTAAAATTATATGCCAATAAATTAGAAAACCTAGAAGAAATAAATACGTTTCTGAACACATATAACCTATCAAAATTGAAGAATTAAGAAATACAAAATGCGAACAGACCAATAACAAATAAAGAGATTGAAGCATTGTCTCTCAATACAAGAAAATCTGGAGGGCTGGCACAGTGTCTCACACATGTCATCTCACACTTTGGAGGCCAAGGCAGGAGGATTACTTGAAGCCAGAATTTCCAGATTAGCCTGGGGAACATAGTGAGACCCAGTCTTTACAAAAATAAAAATAAAAATTATCCAGGTTTAGTGGTGTGCACTTGCAGTCCTAACAACTTGGGAGGCTGAGGCAGGAGGATCACTTAAGACCAGGAATTTGAGGCTGCAGTGAGCTATGATTGCACCACTGTACTCCAGCCTGAGTGACAAAGAAAGACCATGTCTCTAAACCAAAAATATTTAAGAAGAAGAAGAAAAAGAAAGAAAGAAAGAAAGAGGAAGAAAAGAGAGACAGAGGGAGGGAGGGAGGGAGGAAGGAAGGAAGGGAGGGAAGGAGAAGAAAATAAAAATCGAGGATCCAATGCTTATACTGCTGAATTCTTCAAAACATTTAAAGAGGAACATATACTAATTATTTACAAACTGTTCCAAAAAAAGTGAAAAGGAGGAAACTCTTCCAAACTCATTCTATGAAGATAGAATTACCTTATTCCAAAATGCGACAAGAACAGTGAAAAACTAAACTACAGGCCAATATCAGTGATGAACATAAATGCAAAAATTCAAAACCAGCAATGCTAGCAATCATAATTTGAAAGCACATTAAAAAGATGATTCACCATAATCAGGCTGTATTTGTTCCAGGGAGGCAAGGAGGGCTTATGATATATAAATCAATAAATGTGATACACCACATTCGATAAGGTAAGATAAAAATCATATAATCATTTAAATAGATACAGAAAAAGCATTTGACAAAATTCAATGTTTTTTGTAAACATAAGATCTCTTAACAAATCAGTTATAAAAAGAGTATAACTCAATAAAATAAAGGCCATATGTGATAACCCACAGCCAACATGATACTGAATAAGGAAAAATTGAAAACTGTGTCTCTAAGATCAAGAACAAGACAAGGATGTTCACTTTAATAACTTCTCTTCAACATAGCACTGGAAGTCCTAGCTAGAGCAATTAGAAAAGAGAAAGAAAAGACATCCAAATTGAAAAACAAAAAGAAAGTCAAATTGTCCCTGTTTGCAGATGACATAGATCATGTCATATGTATAAAAGACCCTATACTGAAAAACAGAAACAGTAAATGAATACAGTAAAGTTTTAGAATACAAAATCAGCATAGAAAAATCAGATGCATTTCTATACCCAACAGCATACTATCTGAAAAAGGAATCCCCATTGAAAATAGCTATAAAAAAAATGCCTGGCAAAATAAAGACGTCTAAAATGAAAACTATAAAACATTGATAAAAATCAATTGAAAAGATACAAGTAAAGACAAGGTTATCCCATTTTTTGAATTAGAAGTGTTAATACTGTTAAAATGACCATCATACTCAAATCAATCTATAGGTCCAATACAATCTCTAACCAATTTCCAATGTAATTCTTCACGTTCTGCGGATGTTAAAAAGATTTTTAAAACCGTTTTTTTGGTTCTGCAGGCGAAGGCTGTGGCCGCGCTCCCGCCGGCCAGTTCCCAGCAGCAGCTCATCGCCCCTGCTCCGCGCCTTCGCTCCAGGCCCGCAGGGTCGCAGCCCCGCGAGAATCAGCACTGAGCCGGTCCCGCCGCCGCCGCCCCAGTGTCGGGCTGCTGCTGCGGGAAGCCAATCGCCCACCGCTTGGAGGAGGGCGACGAGGCCTTCCGCGCGAGCAAGTACCAGAAAGCGCCGGGCTCTTCCGCTCCATGCTGGCCCTGCTGGCGCAGCCCGACCGCGGCCGGTGCCTGAGGCTGGGGGACGCGCTGGCCCGCGCCGGCCGCCTCCCGGTGGCCCTGGGCGCGTTCCATGTAGCCGGGAGGTTGGAGGCGCTGAGTCCGGAGGAGCTGGGGGAGCTGGCGGGCGGCCTGGTGTGTCCCGGCCTGCGCGAACGGCCACTGTTGGCGGGGAAGCCTGGCGGCGAGCTCAGGGCTAGGGAGGGCCGGCCCTGGCGCCCGGCGCGCCCCGCGACCTGCTTGGCTGCCCACGGCTGCTGCACAAGCCTGTGACGCTGCCCTGCGGGCTCACGGTCTGTGAGCGCTAAGTGGAGCTGGGGCCCGCGCGGCCACAGGCGCGGGCGCGTGAACGTGGTGCTGAGCCGCCTGCTGGAGAGGTGCTTCCCGGCCGAGTGCCCGCTGCGCAGGCTGGAGGGTCAGGCGCGGATCCTGCAGCGCCAGCAGCAGCCCGAGGCCGCGCTGCTCAGGTGCGACCAGGCCCTGGAGCTGTGACTTGGCTGTGGGGCTGGCCCGCCTCCCTGGCCCCTGTCAAGCCGAGCGGCTGGAGCTAACCCGCGGGCCTGGGCTTTTGAGCGCTTTGTCCAGGCGTAGGGGGTCACTTTGCTTACTAATGATGGGAAGGTGAAAGGTGGGGGAGGCCACTCCCTGCAGTCAGGGTGGCAGGTGTCAGAGGCCACATGCAACCCACTGGTTTTGTCTTTTCTAGGATGCTGATAAGTTTCCCGCGGCCCCCGGAGCAGCTCTGTAAGGCCCTGTAGTTGCCTTTCATTCCCTTCTGCTCTATTGAGGAGTGGGAGGATGACAAAGTGTTTTTGCTCAACCCGAAGGAAAATGCACATGGGAGGACACACCGGGTTACTATTTGAGTAGCCCAGGCAAGAGACCAGCGGCTGCTTCAGCCATGAGACCACCTCAGGCCAAAATAGCCTTGTGGTTGTTTTACTTCTTTTCACCAAATGGGTCTTTTTGGGGTTTGTGGCATGTCCCATGTAATGATGATCTCTTGGTTCCCCTTTCTCATTCACACCCGGGAGCTGAGGTGGGGTGGGGGAGTGGGGGGGGAAGGGGAGTGGCCACCTGCGCCAGGTATGAGAGAAGCCACACCTGAGACCAGCCCCTCTGTCCTCCTGCCTCTGCATGCAGCGTCCCTGCAGGAGGCAGAAGGGGTGAAAAGTAGCCTCGATGTGAAAGTCCTTGTGTGTCCCTGAGGGGGGAAGTAAGTCACAGTCGGGACACTGGTTCCTGTCACTGGGTGCAGCACAAAGAAGGACCCCAGGACATGCGGTGCAGACGGGAGCACAGAGAGGGTGAGTGCTACTGGGGTGCACAGGCAGCTTGAGGAGGATGGAGATGGCAAACTTCCCTTTGTCACACCAGGTCCACGTTCAGGGCCGGAGGACCACCAGATCCCCAAAGCCTCCGGTGCTTCCGAGGCAGAGGAGAGGCAAAGCCGGTGGCCCCCTGCGTCCAGGGACCTGGCAGCCACCACTGAGGCCCACCTGCTTGTCCCTCAGCCGGGTGCCCACTGGCAGCCACACTCCAGGTCTCTGGGCTCTGCCCAGGACGTGTGTTTGGGCTTCTCTCCCCAGCAGAAGTCATCAGCGTACCCTCTGCATCCCACGGATTTGCTTTGTTTCTGAGGGAATAATTAAGGAATGTTAGTATGATATCAGAAAATAGCTAATTATGGTGAAGAGCTAACAGGGCAATCTGGGAAGCTGTGGAGCTCTAGTTAGTGATGACAGAAGAGGAACATATTTGACTGTTTTGTGCTACACCCAGGTTCTCAGGAGGTGGCCAGGGAGGAGACTTGGCACTGTGCCATGCTCAGAGCCCCTAGTCCCAGGGACTGTTTCCCTGTGGGAGTTTGGATGAGAGGCAGTTGGCTGGGAAGCTCAGGATGGAGTGAGGAAGGAGAACGACTTGAGGTGCTTGGGTTGGAAAGATCTAGTACCCCAGGAGGGACTGGCTGTGGCCTGCACACACCCCAAACTCACACACTCTGTCATGCTCACACAGACACGCACACACACTCATGGACCCAAGCTCACACACCACACTCACATGGCTTATTCACACACTTACACACATTAACACACATATGCACTCATATTTACACATCCGCACACAGTTATATTCCACATACACACTCATACTGCCAAGTTCAAACACCACTATCACACATTTCTTCACAAACATTCACACAACTCACATACACACTCTCACACATGTACACACTCACCTACCCACTCTCCATTACACACATTTACCTGTCCGTTCTCACACACATGCACAAACACAAAGCCAAATTAGAGCCATTTTCCTGGTCCCACACAAACAAAAATGATACCTCAGTTTCTTGATCTTGACCAGAATTGGGCACATGATTCCATCCAACCACAAGGTGGGGCGGGAATGAAATCCTATCACGTCCTCAGGCTGTGGAGAAAAAAAACTATGTCAGGCCTCTCTAATGCCTCCCACAAATGGGCAGGAGGGATTGAAACAGAAAAGGGGTTCCTCCTGACATGTGGCATTGATGGAGCCTGGTTCTGCCTCATGCCAAGCCCTGCCTTGCCCCTCGATGATGGAAAATGGTTGTGTGTCTTGTTTCCTGGCCTCCATCTCTGTCTTGGTACAGAGTAGAGACTTGAGTCTCAGTTCCAAAGACAGGAGTCCCGCTGAGCTGACCCGCCCACTGACAGATGAAGTCTTGCCATCTGCTGACCAAGTTCCCCAAGGCCCCTTGAGACTCAACTTCTGAAGAGGTTCTGCTCAGAATTCCCCGTCCCCATGATCTGCCCGGCTGTCGGGACACTGGTGAGCCTGCTCAGTGGGGAGTCCCTTTTCAGCTCAGTCAGCAAGTGGCTCTTCTCTATAAAGAGGCAGGGGATGAACCTCCTCTCTAGTTTTAGCAGAAGAGGCCATGAGACCCATGGCAGAGGCCAGAGCTGTGCAGGCTGTAGGAGGTACCACGTCAGGGATTTCAAACGGAGGAAGGTACTTTCCAGAGAGTACTGCAGGGAACCAAGCCATATCCACCGTAGCTGCAATAAAAACTCTGAGGCTCAGCTTAAACTCAATCCTAGAAATGATGTCCCAGCACAAACTTTGCAGGATAAGCAAAATCTAGAGAAGAGAAAATGCAGACCCAGGCAATGATAAACACAAGTCATCGGGACCACCACGGAGCAGATACAGTGCCTTCTCCACGTGCGGTGAATGAGGTTCTCACGTCTGTTAGTGTGTGGAATTGAACATCAATATCAGAATCATTCTGTGTTACCTACAACTGGTTTTATGTTGTTATGCCTGTCTCCTGATGACTGTGTATCTTTAGCCAACCTTTTCACCCCAAAGCTCCTGCCCCAACCCCTCCTCCTGGAAGTGCCCATCTCTGGTCTCGGCAGGAGGCTGTTCTTCCCAGCCTGTGGGGTGGCCACCTTGCAGGCTGTAACCCTCTACAAGAAATAAAGTCTTCTCTCCTTTTCTAAATTTCGATATTTGCTTAATCCTTAGCTTCTATTTTTTCAAGCTTTTAAACTGCTTTTAGGTCATGGCCTCTTCTCTGTAGGGTCTGGAGGCTGAGAGATGTCCAGCAGGAAAGAACTGCTAACTAATTCCAGTAACGCTGCTCTTCTGCCTAACGGAGGTGTTTAAATGTTGATTTTGGCAAAATCTATGAGCAGGTTGCTCCCCCTCTCCCGAGATCTCTCACAATACTTTGTAAAACCCAATTTAGCGCATTGTCTGGGAGGGCAGCTTTTACTGGTTCTGCAGCGATCTTCCTTACTCATAATCTATTGAAATATTGTAAAGCGATGCAGATTTGTGGCATGTGAGGAGAGCATGTAGACACACACTCCGCTGTGATTCAAAGTGCCCTAACACCTTCCTCTCCCCTACAGGCTGTGATAGGAGGGTGCTCTGGGTCACTGAGGAAGGGGAGTCATAAAGGAGCAGAGGCCCCCCGTCGTGAGTGCCATCTCTCCTTGAGTGTGGCCTCTTGTTCTAGCCCACAGGCCCACCATGCCCTGACTAAATGCTCGCACTGCTCATACATCCACTTTTAAAAATTGAGTTGAACATGAGAACATGATCATTCATGTTTTATCCATTTGCATGTATTCAATACCATCCTTTCCTCATCTCTGCTTTACCGCCTTTTCCTTTAAAGAATGAATGTTTCCATGTTTTATATCCACAGAATTTCTGGTCTTTCCCTTTGGAGCCCAAGGAGCAAGGGCAGAATGAGGAACATGATGTTCCTTACAGACAGTTACTCATGAGGCCACAGCACAGAAACTGCAAGAAATGTCAGTCATGAAGTGTCCCAGTGCATTTTAAATTGATGGTTATTAAAAATCCTTCTTTATCTATAGGGGATCTAAAAAAATTAAACAACTCATAATTTAAACACAGTTGCCAGGTAACCTGAGTCAAAAATCAGGAGAGGCTCCGTGGTCTGAAGTCTCCTAGTGCTCACCTTGGTGACGTTCTAGTTGCCTAACGGGTTGGTGTAATGACGTCATTCAACACAAGCAAAACACAACTCCCTTGGAGTTGTTCAAAAAATCAGGAAATAGAAAAAAAAATAAGGGAGAATAAAATATTGACAGGAGAGAAAAATGAAGAGTTACTTGGAGATTTGAAGGAGGTGAAATGGGCAAAAAGTAAATTTAGCAATTAGAATTTAAAGTCAGTGGATAATTAAGTCGAATAATTTATTCTTATGTCCATGTATTTTGGTTTTAAAGTTTTGATTAATACTCACTCAACACTAATTTCTAACAAATTAGAATATTCCCATATTGACTATTTTTACCAGTGAGCTTGTAATAAAGATCCACCAGTAATTTTAGTACACCATAACCTTTCAAAAGAAGCCCATAGAATAAACTAATTTTTAAAGAGCCACATTTTATTCAATGTCTATTTATACATGTTACTAGCAATAAACTCTTTTATCTTTAATTTTGAGAAGCTTTACAAATACAGAAAAGTAGAATGACTAATAGAGCCGGTAGCCAGGACTCAGATCGGAAAAATAGGTCTAATCGGTTGTTACACTGTGTTTATGTCATACATTTCACTTATTTTTATCAAATAAAAATTAGAATTTATAAAATGTTGATTAAAAGGAAAACATTCTGACTAAAGTTTAGTCCTGTGTTTCTTCCTCCAAATCTCTTTGTTCTACACTAACAAGTCAGGATAAGTATGGATGGGGAGGCTGGAAAAGGGGCATCCTTCCCCATGAGGTCCCCAGAGCCACCTTCTCCAAGCAGAACTTGGGGAACATCCTTCTCCATCCAGGACCTAGGGGGCATCTTTTCTCCATCCAGGACCTGAGGGGTGTCCTTCTCCACCCAGGACTTGGGAGGTGTCTTATCCACCCAGGACTTGAAGGGGATCCTATTCCATTCAGGAGTGGGGGAAATTCTTCTTCATCTGGACTTTGGAGGCATCCTTCTCCATTTAGGACTTGGGGGGCATCCTTCTCTATCCAGGACTGGGGTTTGTCCTTCTCCATATAGGACTTGGGGGGGCATCCTTCTCCATCCAGGACTGGGGTTTGTCCTTCTCCATATAGGACTTGGGGGGCATCCTTCTCCATCCAGGACTGGGGTTTGTCCTTCTCCATATAGGACTTGGGGGGCATCCTTCTTCATCCAGGACTGGGGGGTTATCCTTCTCCATTCAGGACTGGGTTTGTCCTTCTCCATGTAGAACTAGGGGGCATCCTTCTCCATTCAGGAATTGGGGAGCATCCTTCTCCATCCAGGACTTGGGGGACATCTTTTTCCATCCAGTAACTAGGGGGCATCCTTCTCCATCCAGGACTGAGGGGGGCATCCTTCTCCATCCAGGACTTGGACGACCATCTTTCTCTATCGAGGACTTGGGGGACCATCCTTCTCCATCCAGGACTCAGGGGACATCATTCTCCATCTAGTAACTAGGGGGCATCCTTCTCCATCAAGGACTAGGGGGCATCCTTTTCCATCCAGGACTGGGGGGCATCCTTCTCCATCCCAGAATTGGAGGGCATCTTTCTCTATCCAGTATTGGGGGTCATCCTCCTCCATCCAGGACCTAAGGGGTGTCCTTTTCTGCGCTTCCATGGATGGCAGCCTTGCCTGTGCAGTCATTCAGAAAGTCAGGCTGACACATGTTGTCGTCTTGAACTCTGGCATCTCATCTCTATTCTAGGTGAATGCCTTCATGTTTATAGTGATTTACCATTAAATCACTGTGCTGTTTTTCCCTAAAATATATGGGGCGTGTTTTTTGTTCTGACTTCTTTCAGTCCTTTGGTCCCTATCTCCGGGTTTTTGTAATTTCTTTTGCAACCTAATATGGGTCCCATTTGGTAAGTATTACATATACTAGAAAGTGATGTACATTCAGCATTTGTTGTGATTTAAAACCTTTTATAAACACATAACATCTTTGTCTATTTCCCATTTAAATTCAGAAGTACGAGTTCCAGTGTCCCTCTCTAGACCTGCTCTATCCTGTTAGTTTCTTTGTATGTCCTGGAGGTGAGGCCAGCATTGGACTTGACGTTGGTTCACCTACCCGGTTCTATGGTCCCTCCATGTGCAGTGTCAATCTTGTTGTTTATTATTTCTTCCTTAAATTTTATTTAAACTAAAATTAATTTTGTGATAGCAGCTTGCTTTCTGTGAATATTTACTTAAAATTTTTATAAAATATTTAATTTTTAATTTCTTTAATTTGAAAGTGCTGCTTAGTTATTGATAATTTTGTATTTTAATATATGAGGTTAATCCCTCTATGTTTGGTAGGAAAAAGTGATATATTTGAACTTATTTCTATCATTTGATTTTTGGATTTTGTATTTGCAAAGCTTTATCCTCAATTCTCTTTTCCTTTTTTCAGATTTCTTTTCTTTTCTTCTTTTTTTTGGGGGACAGAGTTTCGCTCCTGTTGCCAAGGCTGGAGTGCAATGGGAGATCTTGGCTCACGACAACCTCTGCCTCTCGGGTTCAAGCAATTCTTCTACCACAGCCTCCAAGTAGCTGGGGTTACAGGCATGCACCACCATACCCAGCTAATTTTGTATTTTTAGTACAGACAGAGTTTCTCCATGTTGGTCAGGCTGGTCTCGAACTCCCAACCTCAGGTGATCCACCCATCTTGGCCTCCCAAAGTGCTGGGATTACAGGCATGAGCCACTGCGCCCGGACTTCCAGATTTATTTTCAATCAATGTTTCATTTTCCACTTCCTTCCTATGCTGGCTTGTAGGTTTTCCAGGCTATTTACCTTTATTTAGTGTCAAAAATTCTTTTGGGAACTTTTGAGTTGTCAACCAATAGTTGTAAGCATATTGGATATTGCTGTTTTTCTCCCAGTGCTCTGGTTATAATCTCTCCTATTAATACCTTGTAGTCTTATTGTTGTAGTTTTTTTTCTATTAATTTCTGAGATATAAGAATTAGAATTGTCAAATTGTGGATTTATGCATTTATCATTTTAATTCAATAACTTTTGCTTCATGTATTTTGTTATTTTTCTTAGGTGTATGCATGCTTATGCTTATTAGGTTTTCTAAGCAAATGGACTTATTAGTATAAAACATCCTTCTTTATCCCTGGTGATGCTTGTCTTTCTTGTAGTCTGTCTTATCTGCCATTAATACACTGGCTGCAGTTTTTGATAACAAAGATTTGCATAGTGTATATTTGTCCATCTTTTCAGTTCAAATCTATTTATATCTTTATCTCATAAGTGTATTTCGTTTTAAAAGTGGTTATTGAGGTTTCCTTTTTACTTATTTTGACAGTCTCTGTTCCGCCTTCCTCATCTTCTTCTGGATTATGGTAGTTTTGGTTTGTTTGTTTGTTTTATGGGGTTTTCTTTTTGTTTTTTTTTAGTATGGATTTTGTACCTTGTTTTTTTTTTAACTATGACTCTTTGTTTCATTTATTTATTTTTGGTGAGTTGTTCAGAAATTAAAATATAAATACTTAATGTATATTAAATATCATAACACTGTATATAAAATATAAAAACCTTACCTTACCATCCTCTCATCTTTTGTGCCATGTTGTCATAGATTTTTCTTTTGTACATGTTGTAATTCCTGGAGGATGTCATTAAAACAGTAATTTCCCCTCCACATATTTACTATTTTTGGCACACTTTCATCTTTTCTGTGAAGTAGAATTTCCAACTGTTATTTTTCTTCATCCTGAACAAGTTTATTTATTGGGGTTTGGGTGTGATGGCAACACGGTCTCTCAGACTTTCTTTAACTGAAAATACTGGGTATATACCCAAAGGACTATAAATCATGCTGCTATAAAGAGACATGCACACGTATGTTTATTGCGGCACTATTCACGATAGCAAAGACTTGGAACCAACAATGTCCAACAATGATAGACTGAATTAAGAAAATGTGGCACATATACACCATGGAATGCTATGCAGCCATAAAAAATGATGAGTTCATGTCCTTTGTAGGGACATGGATGAAATTGGAAATCATCATTCTCAGCAAACTATCGCAAGAACAAAAAATCAAACACCGCATATTCTCACTCATAGGTGGGAATTGAACAATGAGAACACATGGACACAGGAAGGGGAACATCACACTCTGGGGACTGTTGTGGGGTGGGGGGAGGGTGGAGGGTTAGCATTGGGAGATATACCTAATGCTAGATGACGGGTTAGTGGGTGCAGCGCACCAGCATGGCACATGTATACATATGTAACTAACCTGCACATTGTGCACATGTACCCTAAAACTTAAAGTATAATAATAATAAAAAAAAAAAGAAAATGTACTTTTCTCAACTTCAGTTCTGAAGGCTGCTTCAGCAGGTTCAGAATTCTAGGGACACTTTCGACTTAGAATAGCATGAAGTCTCTGCTTAGCAATGATCTGGGCACCATCGAACATATTACTATATCCAGCTGTGTCAAATCTGTCATCGGCCATAGAACGCTTTGACAGGTGCTTCTTGTTGCTTAAGTTCTAAGTATTTCATAGTCTTCAGAGACATGGAGAAGTAGCAGTGCTAGTAACAGTACCAGTAAAACCAGGTTAAGCCCTAAAATAATTAAGAAGCCATTGCATGCACACACGTGAACGTTTGACTTCAGCTACAATGCTTTCAAATGTACTATTTTAACTTTATACAAGGTCATAACACAAATTAAAATTTTAAAAATACTTTCACTTTACATATGTGAAAACTGCAGCTCAAAGAATTTAAAAGACATGACTGAAATCCCATAACTAGGTAAAGATGGTCTAATCTGGAGCCCGCATGTCTTGGTCCCCCCACGCCCTGTTACAGAGAGTGCGAGGCTTCACCAGGAAGCTCTTTTGGCTCAAGGATTAGCTCTGGGGAGGTGCAGCAGGCAGGCCTGCTTTGCATCCTCTTTACAGCAGAAATCCAATGTTTGTTCATGTTTCTAGTTCTTTTTGTTTTGTTTTGTTTCTTACCAGCATGGCTCTGGGAGTTATTTACACAATTTAATTTTAAAAGAGACAGTCCCCATCATTAGGATTCCTTGGAAACTTATGCAAAAAAAAATAAATAAATACTGATAGATGATAAACTTCTGCAAAATTGGGATATGTGTAATATATCTAATTGTAATGAAAGAAACATGTGTATCACAGTAATAATTTAATTTATTACTGTCATTTTCTTGCCAGATTTGAGGGCAATTTTTTTAAGCTCTCCACATGTGGTTTACTGTGGACCAAACACTGGCAGCTTCAGGCTTACAATCTGCTGACAAACCCTTCTCAGTTCCTTCATTTGAAAAATGTGAGCATGCACTGCTCATGTGCCTGGCAAGCACATAACTCACTCAGGAGAAGGACAGTGGCCACTCAGGTCATCAGGTGAACTTGTGACGAGGCCATCAAGAGGCTGCACGTGAGCTCCAGAAAATGAAATTCCCACTATCAAGCTATTCCCCATTTCCACCCAATGCCCCCGCCCCTGCTCCAAAGCAAAGTCTCCACCTCTTAGGAATGCTTGATTTTCAGTATTGCTGAACAGGGGTCAAAGAAAACAAACTGAACAAAGACACAAATGAAGCCTTTAACACAGGGAGCAAAGACACAGCACCTCCCCACTCTGCAACAGCTCCAGAGCTGCACAGCTGCTGCCAGAGCCTGAGCACAGGCTGAGCTCTGGCCCGTGGATCTCACCAATGCCTTTCTTCCCTCTGTGTCAAAAAAAGTATCCATAAATAGGATTCATTTACTCGGGACATAAAATAATGTATACCTACAGTTTCGTCCCAGAACTGTGTAAACCGGCATGCTGTCTGCCACAATACAGTCCTCACCCTGCATCAGGAGCTCAGATGGGGGAAGCTGGCAGGGCTGGAAGCCTGGGAGTCACAGGTGCTTGGAGGAGACAGAAAAGCACCACAGAGAGCCAGGCCCTGCCTACAAGTCACATGTTTAGGGGTCTGGTTGTCTGGGCAGGCTGGGAGATGCTCTCTAAAGGAAATGCAAGAAATATTGCCCCACATCTCCCACCACCAAACAGGAAGTGCAGGTGGTCAGCCCCAGGGCTCACCTGCTCTTTGCCAGGGTCACGAGTCAGGCCCAGGCTGCGCCCTCCACACAATCCTCAAGGGGACTTCCTGCCAGGCTGGGACAACTGCACGGGGCCCTGATGCCCTGGGAAGGACAGGGTTGCATTTAACAGAAACAGCTAAACCTGAAGGGATGAGCTTGCCTTTCCCCGGGGCCATGGGATGGTTTATAGAAAGTTCTACCCATCAGGACAAAGACCTCACATGACACCATCAGAGGAACTGATTTCACACCACAGAGGGAGGAAGAGGGCACATGCCATAGGTCTGCTGGTCACAGCACACACACACTCCTGGGAGCTTCAGACCCAGCAGTGGTGGCTCAGGTGCCAGGTCAGGATGTGGGAGGACACAGTGTCTGGGTGAATCTGTCACCTTTGCTAGCTGCCTTGTCCCACCAGGTAGAAGATGTGGCAATGGGAGCACAGCAGTAGGAAGCCCAGTGTCCCCCAACCTTCCACCTCACAGCCAGGACCTCTGAGGGGCATCTATATCCTGCATATCTAGGCTCTGAAAAGCAGGAGGCCCTGGTTTCCACAGTTGTGGGGCTTCTAGCCAGGGCTGGGCCAGGTTCTCTGAAAAAACAAGCTCCGGGTGCTGCTTTGTCCTCAGGCTACTCCTCCATGGGACCTGCAGGCAGAAAAATGGGTACCACCTGGACCGTGGTGTTAGCAGAAGCAGGGCTGTGCTGCCTGGGGAAGGAGGGGCTCCACGCAAGTACCTCCCGGTACACAGCATTTGATGGCATGTGGACAAGTGCGGGAGCCCTAGACCAAGGACTCTGTGGTGAGCAAGGCTCAGGACCCCTTAGGGGTGAGGGCCTGGGTTACACCACCAGGGGGTCACCAGGACCCTCAGCAGAAGGTGGAGGGGGTGGCAATCATTACCTGTGCGACCCTGAGATGGGTGGCAGCCACAGAACCTAGGGTTCATTGAACCCACCTTTTGTAACTAGTGCCCAGGAAAAGGCCTAGAATTTAATAAAGACGAGGCCCCTGTCAGTGGAGTGCTGGATGGGGCGCACCCCCTGGGGTACACCTGAACCTCCCCCAGGGCCTTGGCTGTGAGCTTTGATTGTAGACATACTTATGCCACGGCCCCTTCAGACTGCTCCCTTCACCTCTGAAAAATCAGACAGGATGCTTCTGTTCCTGGAAACATGAATGCCCTTCATGTGTTTTTTACTTTGACTAGAAACTCATCTGCAACCGAAATATATGCAGAGAACTCATGTGCTCCCAAGGTTTCCAGGCATCTCTGAGAGTTTGCTTCTCAGTTCCCAGGTGTGACAGCTCCAAAGCAGGTGCTGCTGGTTTCTCATCTCAGTGTATTTTAGTTCCCTGTGGACAGCATGTTTCTAACCCCTTGCACACGCTTGGCTCAGATTTTTGAAAAAGCCAAGGGTGGGAGGCAGAATGATGTGGAATGGGCAGAAACTATGAGTAAAGGCTGGCCTCACCCCAGGAGGAGACAGAAGGCATTAGCCCAGTGACAGTGCCAGGGAACCCATGCGGCAGCCTAGGGAAGGTCAGGGAATGGAGCTGGGGTTTCGGCTGTCGCCATCCCAGGGTTAGACTCAGCCAGGTAAACGGCTGATTCTCCTTCACAGAACCCTTGGGCTGGCACAAAACATGTGATTCACAGCGAGAGAAAGACCACTCATGTCCACCCCCTGTAGCCTCCACACACCTGAGCCCGTACCTGACATATCCCAGAACAAGACTCCACAGCTATGCATCTGTTCTCTCCAGGGCATTTCATGATGAGAGAGGGATTTACTTAACATGATGAAAATAGAAGAGGAAATGACCTTGATGAGAACATAGTTCCACACCCGCCATCCAGGGCCTAGGAATAGTGCTCAGCCAGGGCCCGGCCCTTCTAGGGCTCTTGGAAGCTGCAGTGGAGGTGGTGTTGGGACAAGCAAGAGTGACCATTTGCAGGCAGTGTGGGCACCAGGCCATCTGCAGGGGAAAAGCCCAGTGGGAGGATGAGAGGACAGCAGAAACCTGGCAGGGGCTATGCACCCCCTCCCCGTGGGAAGGGGATACACTCCCAGGTGGAGCCACTGTTTACATTGAAATCACTCAAGTCCATCACCAGGAAACACAAAGAGGATTGTCTCGCCAGAGATTAGTGACATGGGACTTAAACAAAATGCCAGTCAGCAAATGAGAGGATTCTTACTTCCACAGACCTCATGTCTACAGTTGCAGTAAGCAAGACTGAACTCAGCCATGCTCACCTGCAGACACTGAGATGCTTGCTAGGAGGCTGTGGGGTGGAATACAAGACACGAGGGCTGACAAGGATGGGAAGAGCATCCCTTTCCTTGCTGTGGGGGGCCTTGGCCAGTTCAAAAATAGATAACATGGGTCTCAGAGCTCCTGAGGCAAGAGCTACGTTGGCATTCAGAGATACTTGGATGATGGCATTGTCTTCAGTAGAACCTCGAAAAAGCACCAAGGACTCCCAGGCAACTTAGCTTAAATCTCTCTCGAGTAGAGCTGGTCTTCGGGATCTCCATCAAGTGAGTGATGCCTTTACCACCATGACAGCACATTATAAAGATGGCCTTGCTACCAGCAGGGACAGGCCTGATGATACTGATCCTGAGGAGGAATCTTATAAACCCATATAATTTAATTTTGGGTAGGCTCAAGCTCATCACTGAGATCATCCTTTGTATGACGATCCATGAGGCCACCGTGAAGAGCATGGATGCACCCAGGCCACAGAGGGGCCCTCTTCATCCTGGATGAGGAGCCCACAGTGGCCATTGCCCCTCAGTCAGAATAAAATCAAGACAAAAGCAATCAGAAGACCCATACACTATGAGGCTGAGCCATTTTTCAAAGATGTCAAAATAGGAAAATAATAAAATGGAAGAAAACCCAGAATTTAATCCCCTGACTTGCTCCAGAGGCCTCCCCAACTCCAGGCCACCAGAAGCGGGGACCCTGCAGAGGAACTCTCCCTGGGTAGAAATTCACTGGTTTTTGCCTTCCACCAGATGTTGACAACTTCAATTTCATCTTTTTTGACATCATAGCTAATGTTAAAAGGACTCAGATCAAAAAAAAGTGATGTGGCTGCAGCCCTGACAATGCTCCCAGTGAGAATTTGTGCAAAACTCTTCCCTCGACTTGCAAAACCGGGTCCAGGCAGGGTCTTAGGGCCGTGACGACTGCATCTCTGCCTCCTCTTCTCTGCAGTGCGGCCTCTTCACAGGCAGAGCATTCATTCCTCTTTAGCTTCTCACCAGCCCAGGATGCAGGGAAGAAGTAGCTTATCAGCACAGTCTTGGAATATTTTTACTTTACCAGCTGGGCTCCTATGAACAATGTGTCCAGCTATAGGTAAACAATGTGTGCAAATAATGTGAGAGTGACAGCACCGTGTCAGGACCATGCGAGAAGCTGGCCAGAGGCACTAGCAGCAGATGGGATGCCGATGGGGGTGACCAAAATACAATATGGGGCAGTTGCATGCCATGATCAATCCTCAGGGGTAGGGGAAACAATAACCCTGGGCCTGGCTAACATTTGCATGGGGGAACATTGACCCAAGTCCCCAGGAGAACGTTGAAGAGAACCGCGGCTTATTGTCAAAGGGAAAAGTAACCGCAGAGTTTTCTTTCTGCTTCTAAGCAGATGGGAGGGGTGTAGCCTGCAGAACCAAGGGTGTGGGGGTCCTAGAATGTTGGTGGTGGTTGTTCAGCAAAGGGCTTCACTTCTCAGCCTGCAGAACTTTCCGCCTATGAGTGTGGGTTACATCTATACATACACAGGAAATCATATACTCTCACTTAGCCGCCTGCATCTAAACATGGTAGTATTAGGAAAAATAGGAAAGCAACATCCTACTAGATTACATTGTTTACAGTGAAACCATTTAAACCCCTGAGCCTCTGTGTCACCAATTAACACTGCGTGTAAGGAGAATGCCTGCCCCGTGGGGGTTTGTAAAGACAAAATGTAAAAATAAAATGTAGGCTGGGCGCGGTGGCTCAAGCCTGTAATCCCAGCACTTTAGGAGGCCGAGGAGCGTGGATCACGAGGTCAGGAGATCGAGACCATCCTGGCTAACTCGGTGAAACCCTGTCTCTACTAAAAAAAATAAACAAATAAATAATAAAATAAAATGTAGAGTGCTTGGTAAACTAAAGTTCTAAATAAATATTAGTTGTTCTATTACTATGTCAGAAGTACAAGTCACAAGACCGGAATACTTCACTTGAATAAGAACTCAGTGCAAAGAAGTTGGATAAATCGGTGAGTTTGAAACTGCAACAGGACTAAAACGATGCCAATTAATTTATTAATGTATTCATATTCATTAACTTATTTATATTCAAATGAATTAAATATTTAGTGCATGCTTGGAGCTGGGAACACACAGCCATCAGGGCCGCACGAACTCCGTCCTCACTGCGGTTGTTTTCAGATGACCTCAGAGGAAAATAAGAGGGAAACACTGGCAATTTCCTCCCGTTGATACCTTAGCTGACTGCATAGCTCGTGTTAGGTCGGTCTTAATGAGGAAATCAGAATATTCGGGGCTTCAGTATTAAAACTACAAATCTCTATGGCAAGCATTCAGAGCTCTTTGGATTAGACATCAGTGGCTGCAGTAACGTTACCTGAGAAACCCGCACGCTTTCTGAACACTGGCATGAGTTTCCTTTCCTTTCGGGCCACTATATGTGGAAAAACACTTTCACCCATGACCCTAAGTGTCCCAAACTGCAGAAGAGGCAGATAGTAGCCAGCTAGTCCCTGTCAAAGGCCCATTGCCCTCTTCTGGGTCAGCCTGGTCCACCCAGCCTGAGGTGCTCTCTGAGACAGCCTAGCCACCACGCCACAAGCCCCTCAGCCTAATCAGAGCATCAGGATGCTGTGCACAGCCATTAGCTGGGGTGACTCAGAATTATCTGCTGTAGAACAGGGCTCCAAGTGAAGGATGTGGTCACTCAGACCACGTAGATGGTTCAAGCTCTTACTCCTCTGTCAGCTCAGTGCCTGCACAGTGGAAAGGAAGTGCATCTATTGATTTCTTGGCCAAAAGAACAAGTTAATACATTTTTTAAAACTTTGACATTTTGTCTTAAAGCAACAGTGGGCCTTGTTTAACTAAAATCTCATTTCTTCAGCCTAATTTTGCTGGAAAGGCCCCCAACCAAGGCAAGCCCCTGGAGGAGAGAGAGCAGCTAGGATGCTGGCACCAGATGGCTTTGTTCCCCAGCCTTCAATATACTCAGTTACAAAATAACCACATCAGAGGTTTGATAAGATTATCCCCCAGGCCATTTTTCAGGTCTAAATGTTACCATATTTTACGAGAATACAGTATTTGAATCAACTCTCAGGGGACCCAGCCTTCAGGAGACACTGAAGGAATACAGCCATTTTTCTAGCCTCAAAAGCATGGTTTGCAAACTGGCTTGTTCTTTGCAGGAGAAAACCACACACGTGGCCATTGATGCCCTTGGTTGACAGAGTTGACGGGATTTTCTCTGGCTCTCACCTTGAGGGCATCATCAGCATCCTGAAGTCACTAGCGGGCCTCTGTGCAGATGTCCTTTCGAGGGGCTTCAGGCTGTGGAAGTGACCAGTGAACACAGGACCTGCCTGGACTCCCAGCCTCACAGCACAGCACCACAGCCTGGACTGCCCCCTGCCTGATACTTGCTTGGTTTGGAACTTTACTCCATCAAAACATCCAAATAAAAATATGTAGACTCCCCACCCTATCCCATCTGCTATAGGGTTCTAATTCCCCCACAGACATCCCCTCACAGTGCTTTCTCCCATGACGGGGGACTCCTGAGCTGGACTCCATCCCTCCCCTACCAGAAAAGCACAGGTGCTGTGGCATGAGTTCAACCGCCTGAAATTCCCTGATCTTCAGAGTAATAATTCTAAAATAGGGCAATAATACCCCTGTCAGTGTTCTTGGAAGAACTTCTCATTACTTGAGGCCCCAGAAATGCAAACACTCCTCCGGTTTTCCAGCGTGCTGTCAACCCTGGCATCAGAGCTCTTCCTGCCGTGGGCACTGGTAATTGACTTACTGGAGAAAGTCAAGCTTTTAAGTCCCAGGAATAAAGGATTCCTATTTCCTTAATCTGTGTTTATTTTTACGCTATTGCTGGTAGAGTCAATGTGTACTGAGTGAAGATGAGGCAAGAGTGTCAAAGAGTGATTTCCAATAAGATGAAAAGTGATCTGCAGTTTCTACTTCCTTAACCAGCAGGAAACGTTTCTCCTGTAGCATCAGACAGTGGAGGCAGTGGCGCTCAGTGTGGGGCCTCCTGGCTGAAGGAGGGGACAACACGGTGTCCCATCTCCCTAGATGCTGTATGCACCTCACCTGGCTGGTGATTTACTTGACAGAAACCCATGTGTGGAGTAGGGAGTGCTGCCTTTGGCATCTACCCAGTTTCTGCTCTGGACTCTGCCTCTTAGCAAGGGTGACTTGTGGGCCCAAATCACCTGGTGGCTGTGAGCCACTCCACTCCAGCCTGGGCAAGAGTGAGACCTTGTGTGAAAATAAAATAAAATATAAAAATAAAAATAAGCCGGGAATGGCGGCTCACAGCTGTAATCCCAGCACTTTGGGAAACCAAGACGGGCGGATCACATGTGGTCGGGAGTTCGAGACTAGCCTGACCAACATGGAGAAACGCTGTCTCTACTAAAAATACAAAAAATTAACCGGCTGTTGTGGCTCATGCCTGTAATCCCAGCTACTCAGGAGGCTGAGGCAGGAGAGTCACTTGAACCCAGGAGGCAGGCGTTGCAGTGAGCCAAGTTCCTGCCATTGCACTCCAGCCTGGGCAACAAGAGCGAAACTCTGTCTCAAAAATAAAATAAAAGTCTTTAAGTCATTCATCAATTTTATGTGTTTACTATTTCTTCTCCCATTCCATAAAGCCTACAGTCATATAACACAAAGGGAAAATCAGGACAGCCACATATAAATAAAGGTGCAAAGTCGAGGCAAGAGTGGACCTTAGGGGCCAAGCAAGGGTCATTGCTGAGCTTCACATTTAGCCCTGGGCTTTCTGGAAGCCAGAGTGAAAAGAGAGACACAACCAGCTGCATAAGAGTTATCAAAAAGCAGGAAGCGCACTGGTTTTTCTGGTAGTAAAGCAAGGGCTTTCCAAGAATTTACCTCTAAAGTAATTTCTTTCATTCTTTCTTTTTTCTCGCTCTGACACCCAGTTGGAGTGCAGTGGCACAATCAGGGCTCACTACAACGTCTGCCTCCCAGGCTCAAGCCATCCTCCTACCTCAGCCTCTCAAATAGCTGGGACTACAGGCACGCACCACCATGCCTGGCCAGTTTTTTGGTATTTTTTGTAAAGGTGGGATTTCACCATGTTGCCTAGGCTGGTCTGGAACTCCTGAGCTCAAGCAATCCACCTGCCTTGGCCTCCTAAAGTGCTGGGATTTCCGGCATGAGACACTGTGCCCGGCCTAAAGTAATTTCTTACTTGAGATTTTATTTCAGGCTATTGTGTCATGCACTGGGCAGTACAGCCTGGTGGGTGAGAGTACAGTGGTTTTTTGTGTGTTTGTGTGTTTGTTTGTTTGTTGTCTGCTGGGTTTGGGTTTGAATTTTGTTTTAATACATGCAATTTATTCTGTGCTTCACTTTCTTCATCTGTAACATGGAGATAACGGCGTCTACCTATTAAAGTTGTGAAGATTCAATTAGATGAGTTGTATGAATAAATGTTAGCCATTTTTTTTTTTTTTTTTTTTTTTTGAGATGGAGTCTCGCTCTGTCACCCAGGCTGGAGTGCAGTGACGCAATCTTGGCTCATGGCAACCTCTGCCTCCCAGGTTCAAGCTATTCTCCTGCCTCAGCCTCCCAATTAGCTGCGATTACAGGCACCCGCCACCATGCACGGCTAATTTTTGCATTTTTAGTAGATCCGCGTTTTCACCATGCTGGCCAGGCTGGTCTCGAACACCTGACCTCAGGTGTTCCACCCGCCTCAGCCTCTCAAAGTGCTGGGATTACAGCCGTGAGCCACCGCGCCCAGCCAGCTATCAAGAAATTCGACTGCCTACTACTTAGCCTGCACAGTTCTAGGTGCTGGGGAAATAGTGATGAACAAGACAAACAAGATCCTTATCTTCAAGTAGCTTTTACCTTCTAAGTGGAGTGAAAAAACAATAAACATTGAAAATAAATTTCAGAAAGTGCTGTGGAAAAACTTTACAACAGACGCAGGAATAGATTTCATTTGACTAGCTCTCCCAGACAGTTTCCAGAAAAGTCAAGGGTAGAATGTTAAAAGGCAACTCAGAGGAGGTGAATCTGTTAGGGCCTGCGGTAATGCAATCCTGGTTTGTGGAATTCTGCAGGCTAATGTGGGTAGGTTACAATTTTGGGGGGAGGGGTTTATTTTGTTTGAAAATTCACTTCTTCCCGCTAAGCTTTTGATTAGGAGCTGAAGTTGAATCAGCTTGAAATTGTATTCTGGACCGGGTGCGGCGGTCCATGCCTTTAATCCCAGCGCTTTGGGAGGCCGAGGTGGGTGGATTGCTTGAGCCCAGGAGTTCGAGACCAGCCTGGACAAAATGGCAGAAACTCCGTGTCTACAAAAAATACAAAAATTGGCGGGGCATGATGTTCTGCGCCTGTAGTCCCAGCTACTCAGGAGGCTGAGGTGGGAGGATCACTTGAGCCCGGGAGGCGGAGTTTGCAGTGAGCTGAGATGTCACTGCATTCCAGCCTGGGCGACAGAAAAAAAAAAAGAAACGAAAAAAAGAAATTGTATCCTGAATACATCTTCTAAAACACTACATTTACTTGCACTATATTAAACTGGTTTTATCCTGACCACAATTGCAGGTGAAAGATAACCACTGTTGTTCTATTTTTCTGGTAAGTAGAGTGAGCCATGTCTTGCCCAGGGAAAGACGCCTCCTAAAAATTTGTAGGACCACCTTTGGTTATCTTCCAGATTTTTTTTTGTCATCGCTTTTCCTGCGCCCAATTCCCATCTGTCTAGCCCTTCTGCCTCCGCTGGTCTTTTTCGCGAGCCTCTCCCCAGCCGCTGGTATTCGTCTGGGCTGCAGCCCCGCCTATCTCCTGGGGCGTGACCACCTGTCCAGGCCCCGCCCCCGTCCAACAGGCGGAGACCCGCCCCCTTTCCCGGAGACCCGCCCCCTTTCCCGGACACCGGCTTCAGCGCCCGAGCGTGCGCGCGCGTCTCCGCTCGTCGCCCGGCTCGGCGTCGGGAGTGCACTCTGTGTGGCCGCTGCTGCAGTGTTGTTGTGGTTGTGAGAAGGCGGCGGCGGCGGCGGAGTAGCAGCCGGACCAGACGCCCTAGTAGCTCAGTCGCTGCCCTGCGCCGGGCCTGGCAGGGAGCCTGGTGAGATGGTGGAGGAGGAGGCTGTGCCGTGGCGGGCCTTGCCATGTCCTGCTGCCTGGTAAGAACCCCATCCCCGTCCCCTGTCTCCTCCCGGGGTGAGGAGGAGCTGGAGGAGGGGCCGGCCTCTGTACGGCCCCGGCCAGGCGGCTGTCACCCTCTGAGGAGGCAGCGCCAGGGGAGGGGCGTCCCGGGCGGCCGCCGCCGCCAGGGGGAGGCGCTGGGAGTGGGAGTGGGAACGGGACCTCAGCGGTCGAGCTCGGCCGGGACCCTAGGTGCGGGGGAGGCGGGGTCCCGGGCTCCGGCTGCCTGCCCAGACCTGGCGGGGATGGGCCCGTGCGGCTCCGGGTGTGGGACGTATCCTGGGAGCGCCCGGGGTTATTCCCACTGACTCCCGGGAGGTGGGTGTGCGCCCTTCGCCCCCTGCCTGGTCTGTGGGGATCCATCGTTGCTGGAGACTGGAGGTCGGGGGCCATGGGAGCCCCGGGGCGAACGGTGCGGGCCTGGGTCTTGTGGAAAGGAGGAGCGACCGCCTGAGCGTGCAGCAGGACATCCTCCTGACCTGGTAATAATTAGGTGGGAAGGATGGTTGGGGGCGGTTGGCGTAACTCAGGGAACACTGGTCAGACTGCTCCCCAAACGATTACAGTGTTATTTCTCCGGTAGAAATTTTCCTTGATGTATGGTATTTCCGGACCCATAAGATGATGTCAGTCGTATTTTGGGCTGGAAAAGTTATGTCAAAATTATGGGGTAGATTTTATGGCCACATTAATAGACTCCCCTGGAGTTTGATAATCTCACTTGTGAGTTTTGGACATGAACTACTATTACATATTGATGTTCAAATGTCGTTTGCAGACCGAGGCCTAAATTCTTACTGTTCTAGTATCTTGATATCCACTTTGTTTTCTGACATCTGTTTTTCCACAACCCAAACAAACAAAACAACATCCCCAAACCATATACTTTTCCAGTTGAGGTTCAACTTTCTCTTATGTGAATGGTAATGCCATGAGAGGCCTGGGTTGAATTACAGGAGATGATTTTTTTTAAATGTTAAATGTTTATGATTTGTCCGTGGAGAGGTGGTGGGGGACCATCCCCTTTCAAATTCAGGGCTGTTCAGTAGGACAGGAGACATTGATGGCATGCAGAAAGTCTTCCCTTTATAGGGCCTATGACTTGGGCAGGCTAGAAGAGCTTACAGAATGACACTTTTTTTTTTTTTTTTTTTGAGACGTTATCTCGCTCTGCCGCCCAGGCCGGAGTGCAGTAGTGTGATGTCTGCTCACTGCAACCTCCGCCTCTCGGATTCTAGCAATACTCCCACCTTAGCCTCCCAAGTAGTTGGGATTACAAGTGTGCGCCACCACGGCTGGCTAATTTTTGTATTTTCAGTAGAGACAGGGATTTCTCCGTGTTGGCTAGGCTGGTCTGGAACTCCTGACCTCAAGTGATCCACCTGCCTCGGCCTTCCAAAGTGTTGGGATTACAGGCGTGAGCCACCACCCCCAGCCAGAATGACACTGTTTTGAGTAACCCAGTATAGTATGTGATATTAAACTAAATTTGGAGGATTCTAGAATTCTAGATTGGCTGCCTATGACGACAGACCTCTTTTGGCTCCAATTACTCCCTCATTTTCAGGTGACTCAGAGAACTTCAAGTGACCAGCACAGTGGTACAGCCCCACTTGTCGTTAATGGCCAGCCATAAAAGAACCCAAGTTTCTCAGCTCATAGGCCAGGTTCTTCAGTGGTTGTCTAGTTTAAGGCTGGTCATTAGCAATATTATGGACGACCTAAGTTCCTCGAACTTATGCAGTTTATAGCTTTTTAAGAATTTAAGAAGTGGAGAAGGGGAAGCATGAGAAACTTAAAGGATGCAAATTGAGCATCTCTTAAAATATAATGGATTTGTGTAGGTGAAACAGATTTGTTGCCAAAAGTTAATTTGTGCACAAGTTATCAGGAACACACTTGATAAAATTAGATGCTGATTAATTGGAGATACATTGTATCCAGAGATACACAAGAATCCAGAGGAAATAAACAGAGAAGGAGAGGAAGTAAGTCAGCTTCTGGCTCATAAAGGGGTCCACTGAAGATGCTCCCTAACATGGTTGCTCCTAAACCATCTGACTCAGATTTCTAGTGGAGGGTAGGATGGGTGTGTTAGCAGTCATTTGATATCAGGGTTGTGAACCAGGAAGGGTTACTACAGATTGTGAAAAGTTCTTGAAATTTGCCGCAGGCCGTGAGGAGTGGTAAAGTCAGTTTAAAAATCTGCTGTAGTTCTAGTTAACACGTTCACACCTTCTTTAGTGAAGTAGAATGCTGAGTTACCAAAGGACGTATTCACGTTTTAGAGGGGGTGTGGTGAAGGTTATTATAAGTTTGGAAGAGGTGGAAGAAAATGTTGTTATAGTTGTGTAGAGTAGTGAAGGACTTTGGCAAATATCCTGTCAAATCATGAAGTAGTATTTTTAGAGAGTTGCACCCAGCTGTCCATTAGAAGAGCCAGAGGCCTCGTCTGTTTTGTTCCCTGGTGTCGCCAATACCCAGCACAGTTATCAGCATATTCTATACCCTCAGATTTTTTTTTTAGTAAGTGAATAGTATTGATATGGAAAAAAGAACAGTTATGGTGGTTTATAGCCGTGTTAGTTATTAAAAGCTACTTGATAATTTGCAATGGATTAAAGAGCCAGTTTTTGATCAAGTAGGGCTCTGGATAGGAAAGAAAATAAAAAAAATAAAGAGCCAGCTTTCAGTGCTTGTTGTTTGGAATTTTTGAGATTCCTTTAAGAAATTGTTTTCTGAAGACTGTCGTGAACATTGTTGTGTCCCCTGGTTTTTGAGTCTTAATGTGTCTTAAGTGTTTTAGATGTTAGTGACTTTTTTAAGAGCACATTAAATGCAGAGGTAATATAGAATAATGGGAAGTTCTGGATTGACAGATAGACATATATTCTGATTCCATCTGTGTCATTAATTGCTGTTGGGAATGTCACTTAACTTCTCTGGGCATCAATTTTCTCATCTATACAATTAAGGGCCTATAGTCTTTGACCTCAAGTAGTTTCTCTAGCCTGATTCTGTAAATTTTTAATAAGTTCTAATTATGTTATTTGGTATTCATCTCATATAGGTAGACTAACCTTTGCCATTTAAAAGAAACAAGATTCTGTGTTGGGTTCTGCTTTTAGCTTATGGATTTTAGACATTGTCCAAAAGTGCTTCGGAAATTGAATGTATGTTGCAAGTATTATGTAGTAAGAACATGCTTATGCTGTTGTAATTCGCTTAGTGATGAAATCAAATCAGGTTTTACATTGGGAACTTCATAATTTAGTGTGAAGCCACAAGACTTGAGAATGGTTTGGGGGAGTATGTGCAATTTATATAGCTAGTTGTTTCTTACCACCCAATTCTGTAATTTTCTATGGTGAATATATACATAAATTTATAATCATGTAACATTGATTGAAGATATAAGATGATATCAGATTCATATTGGATTGAACTAGGACTGCCAGTAACTTTAGAGGCCTCCAAAATTATTAACATGTCATTGCTATTTTTAATCTTAATTTTTTGGTATCATCAATATTGATATCATGCTTTCACCTTTGCTTTTGTATCTAGAAACAATATACTTTTTAAGTTCATACTTGTATCAGATATTAAAAATGAAAATTGTAGCATAAAAGTGGATAGATGAGTAAATCTTGGGTTCAAGCCTGCGTTGTATTCTTCATTAGCCGTGTTGTTTCTGGCAAGCCACGTAACCCCTCTGAGCTCCAATTCCTTCATTAGTGAAAGGAAGAAGAGCAGCTTCTCTACTTTTCTAACAGACTGCCAGGGGGAGAATGCAACGGAATAATGTGTATGAAAAGTATTCAAAAAATGTAAGGGTCTGGTATTAGAATCCTATTATATTGGAATCCTGTTTTATTTCTTGGAAGAATTGGCTTGTGGAGCAGTAGTAAACCTGGTCCACATTGTCAAGTGCAGAATTTAGCAATATCACTGATAAGGCAACAGAAAAGGTTTCTGCTTCTGTAGTCTGGCTGGAGAAACCTTTCAGCAAATGTATCCTGTCTGCCAGTTGGAATAATCACAATGTTGCAGGGACTTCAGAGGAACCTGGGGTGTCTCACATTTATGCCAAGGTCTGTACTTAGAATAGACTTGCTAGATTTTACCCATTTTCTTATGTTGGAGTCGTGGGAGAAGGTGGTAGGAGCAAGGAGTTTAGCACACTCTGCATAAAGTTTTAAGGCTACATTTTTAAGTAGCAGGTGGCAGTGTCATAGGGTAATGAAATCAATGTACTTATTTTAAAAAGCATTTTAAAAAAGAATATATCAGTACATTGTGTAAAGTAAAAGTAAATATTGATTTGGGAAACCTTTCTTTTTAAAAGATATGTTTATGTATGTATACTTGGTTGCCGTGTAAAATGTATTTTTTCTTTTTAAAAATTATTATTTTCATTTTTTGTAGAGACAGGGTTTTGCTACATTGCCCAGGCTGGTCTTGAACTCCTGGGCTTGAGTAGTCCTGCCTTGGTCTCCCAAAGTGCTGGGATTATAGACATGAGCCACTGCACCTGGCCTAGAAAGTTATTTTTTCTTTTGGGTCGTGATAAAACTTGGTCGTAGTTGTTTAGGGACATAGTACTTGTGCAATGCCGATAGAATGACTGTCTATAAAATAGTAAGGCATGAAACAAATGAAAACAAAGAGAAAATTGTGAAGATGGGTTACCTTAAAGCTATTCTGTTAGCGGTGAAATACCTCATAGCTTTGTTCTAAATTGTTGAATTAATGAACAAAGCACATAAACTTATGCTATAATAATCTTCTTAAGTACTCTTTTCCCTTAAGATGGAGTGTGGAGTACTTGTTAACCACACAGGTATTGTCTTGATCTGATAACTATAGATATTCAGAATGATTCTGTTGTGACAGATGGTAGCAAGCTTTTCTGATTTCACTTATCTGGGGTCTAAATCTAATTTCTTTAGTAGTTAATACATATATATATATATTTTTTGAGACAGAGTCTTGCTCTGTCACCCAGACTGGAGTGCAATGGCATGATCTCGCCTCACTGCAACCTCCGCCTCCCAGGTTCAAGTGATTCTCCCTGCCTCAGCCTCCCGAAGTAGTTAATACTTTTGTAACTTAGTTGCAGAAGAGAGATAGAAATTTCTGAATAATTTTCAGAATTATTCATAGATTTATAATCTGGCAGAATATAAGGAAGTTATAAGTATATTGATAAATCATGACATAACTGGCAAGAATTGGTATAAAGACAAGATGGTTAACTTGAAACAGGGTTGTTGTTTATTATATGCCTATCATTTTTCCATGAGATAAACCAAATATTAGATTAAGTATTTGGACTGATCCACAAATGACATGGGAAGACAGAGTGTTTACAAAGAGTTTTAGAAGTGATACAGGACAATAATTTGGAGTTTTAACTTAATCTCATTTTAAATTTCAAAGTGAAATTATTTCTGATTATGAAAGCTACAGAACTTTTTTTTAGATGGAGTCTCATTGTGTCACCCAGGCTGGAGTGCAGTGGCGTTTTCTCAGCTCACTGCAACCTCTGCCTCCTGGGTTCCAGCAATTCTGCTGCCTCAGCCTCCCGAGTAGCTGGGATTACAGGTACCCGCCACCATACCTGGCTAATTTTTGTATTTTTAGTAGAGACAGGGTTTCACCATGTTGGCCAGGCTGGTTTCTAACTCCTGACCTCAGGTGATTCACCTGCCTTGGCCTCCTAAAGTGCTAGGATTACAGGCGTGAGCCAATGCATCTGGCCCAGAACAGTTTTAATGTTTTTCTTTTTTAAAAAAAGTAGAGATAACCTGTAATCCCATCTGGATGTGATGTTTGGTGTTTTCATTTTTTTTCTTATGCATACCTATTGAAATACCTTAAAAAAGAACAACTTTCCATGTAAAATTGATATCCCCTTAATGAGTAAATGAGTATTTAGTGTTCTATAATATGGATGCATCATAGTTTATAGCAGTTCTGTGTTGTTAATGGATATTGCCAATTTTTCTCTTAAAGTAGTACTGTGATGAACTTGTTTGGGCATTGAATTGTCCTATTATTTCCTTAGGATAATTTTTTTTTTTTTGAGACAGAGTCACTCTGTCACCCAGGCTGGAGTGCAGTGGTATGATCTTGGCTCACTGCAGCCTCTGCCTCCCAGGTTCAAGTGATTCTCCTGCCTCAGCCTCCTGAGTAGCTGGGAGTACAGCCGTGCACCGCCACGCCCAGCTAATTTTTTGCATTTTCAGTAGAGATGGGGTTTTACCATGTTGGCCAGGCTGGTCTCGATCTCCTGACCTCGTGATCCGGCCGTCTTGGCCTCCCAAAGTGCTAGAATTACAGGCCTGAGCCACCGCGCCTGGCCCAGGATAAATTCTTAAAAGCGGATTTATTAGCCAGGCATGGTGGCTCATGCCTGTAATCCCAGCACTTTGGGAGGCCAAGGCGGGTGGGTGGATCACCTGAGGTCAGCAGTTCAAGACCAGCCTGGCCAAAATGGTGAAACCCCATCTCTACTAAAATACAAAAATTAGTCTGGTGTGGTGGCGAGGGTCTATAATTCCAGCTACTTGGAAGGCTGACGCACAGAGAATCACTTGAACCCGGGAGGCGGAGGCTGCAGTGAGCCGAGATTAAGCTACTGCACTCCAGCCTGGGCGACAGAGTGAGACTCATTCTAAAAAAAAAAAAAAAAAAAAAAAAAAAAAGGGCTTATTAGGTCAAAAGGTATGTGTGTTTTAAATGTGGATATACTCAAGATGCCCTTTAGATAGGATGTCTATTTGAAATTCCCGTCAGCAGCATATTAGTATTCAATTCCATATATTCTTGCTAGTGATTTGTCATCTTTAGCTTGTTGGGAGTTCAAAATAGTTTGAAACAGTTTTTCTTCTGTTTCTTTTTCAGCATCAGGACTTACTTCCATAGATTAACTCTTGGGAGGGAGCTGATAAAAATGAAAGTTCAGTGACAATGAGTCGTGTAGACCAGTGGTCTCCAAACTTTGGTTGCTTACCCCATCACCAAAAACTTTTGAGCATTAAGCAGGTGTGGTACCTGGTCCTGTGGTCCCAGCTACGTAGTTGGCTTAGGCAGGAGGATATTTGAGGTCAGGAGTTCAAGGCTAAAGTTCACTGTGATTGTGCTTATGAATACAGCCACTGTACTCCAGCCTGGGCAACATAGTGAGACCCTGTCTCTTTAAAAAAAAAACAAAAAACTGATGGGATGGGAAGAATGAAGTCAGAAAAAAAAATTGATACAACTTCATGTTGTTGCTTTGAAAAAAGAGAAAAAGAAAAATATTGAGCATCAGTTCTTAATCCTTAGATATTTAATTTACAAGTAATAAACATATAGTAACTGATTATTGTGGACTTTAAAATACAAACAAAAAATTAACAAGGATGATAATTAAAAATAAAGTTCAAATATTTTCCTTTTTTACCCTGGGGCTTCTTGGGTACTCCTGGAGGTGTGTGTGTGTGCACGCATGTGTATATGTATGTGTGTGTGTATATGTATAATATATATGTATATATAATAATATATGATCTATATACATATTTTTGAGACAAGAGTCTTGCTCTGTTACCCAGACTGGTGTGCAGTGGTGTAATCTTGGCTCACTACAACCTCCGCCTCCTGGGTTCAAGTGATTCTTGTGCCTCAGCCACTTGAGCAGTTGGGATTACAGGTGTCTGCCACCATGCCTGGTTAATTTTTGTATTCTCTGGTAGAGATGGGTTTTCACCATGTTGGTCAGGCTGGTCTTGAACTCCTGGGCTCAAGTGATCCGCCAGCCTCAGCCTCCCAAAGTGCTGGGATTCCAGGTGTGAGCCACCATGCCCGATCTCCTGGAGGTATGTTATACTTGCTTTGGATACTACTGCTTTAGACCCTTGAGGTTTAATATTGGGCATTTATAGATGTTTGTTTTTGGGCATTTCACTAGTTTTGCAGGTGGTCCTGTTTAGTTGGATTATGAATGCCTTTAAAATGTCCCATGCTAGGCCGGGCATGGTGGCTCACGCCAGTAATCCCAGCACTTTGGGAGACCGAGGCGGGTGGATCATGAAGTCAGGAGATTGAGACCATCCTGGCTAACACGGTGAAACCCCATCTCTACAAAACTACAAAAAGCTAGCTGGGCGTGGTGGCACACGCCTGTAGTTCCAGCTACGCGGGAGGCTGAGGCAGGATAATCTCTTGAACCCAGGAGGTGGAGGTTGCAGTGAGCCGAGATTGCACCACGGCACTCCAACGTCTGTGACAGAGCGAGACTCCATCTCAAAAAAAAAAAAAAAAAAAAAACTCCCCATGCTCTTTAGAGTCGTATCTGCAATAAGGGCAAAAATAAATTTAAAGCATCAGTTTGATACTTTTTTGCATCGTTGAGGTGGCTGAATTTGAAAAGGATAAATCGTAGGATAAAAAGCAATGTAAATAGTCTATTTCTTTTAGATACAAACAGTTGATACTGTGTAGAGCATATTTTTAAAAATTATGTTTTTTGGAAAGCAATTTGGCTATAATATATATCTCCCTGTTTTTTAAGAGGTTAGGTGTTAGAGACTGAGTGAAGGGAAGAATAATTGCTACTTGCTCTCCTTTGCTTTCAAAGTACCACAATTAACCTGTCACTAACTATTTGGATTAGCCTGAGCCTATAACAAACTTTCCATGGTGATTCTTAGATTAAAAGATAATTTTTTTCTTGAGTTTGAATAAGTTGCTTTTGATCTGTGGCTGCCTGCCCCCTAACCCCTATAAATTATGAAATCAGGAAATAAAGCTTTTTGTATTAGAAAAAAGTGAATCTTTTCTCCCCCATCATGGGAAAATTAATTTCAGTTACTTCATATGGGTCATTGGCAGAGAAAGATAATATCAAAATCTTAGAGACTGTCAAAAGAGATTATATTAAGCAACTTGAGTGATTATTTTTTGCCAGTTAAAAGAAATGAGAGGCCGGGCGCGGTGGCTCACACCTGCCATCCCAGCACTTTGGGAGGCCAAGGTGGGCGGATCACAAGGTCAGGAGATCGAGACCATCCTGGCTAACACAGTTGAAACCCCATCTCTACTAAAAATACAAAAAATTAGCCAGTCGTGGTGGTGGGTGCCTGTAGTCCCAGCTACTTAGGAGGCTGAGGCAGGAGAATGGCCTAAACCCCAGAGGCAGAGGTGGCAGTGAGCCGAGATCACGCCACTGCACTCCAGCCTGGGTGACAGAGCGAGTCTCCATCTCAAAAAATAAACAAATAAATAAAGATAATTTCTATTGAAGATGATTGCTATAAACAGTGCTTTGCACAAATGGCTACATATCTCTTTTTACTTTAGGTAACATGATTTATAAGCTACTTTCACATATATCTTCTTAGATCATCACAAGGATTTGAGATCATCATTTAATCAGGACTGTTGTGACTTGCTTGAGGCCACATGCCTAGTGTTTGACATCATACTTCAAGAGACAGATTGAAAGTTCTGCAGAAATAGGGACTGGTGGCTGTTCTCTCCCTTACTCCCTAGCAGTTAATACATTGCCTGGTACAGAGTAAGCTATCCATATTTGTGGACTAACTGTTTAAACTCCTGCATATTTATTTATACGTGTAAATAAGTTATAGCATTATAAAATCAACAGTTACGTTTTCCGTAGTTAGATTGTTCCTTCATCTTATGTGCACAGAAACTATTTTTGTGGAAGAGGTCATGAATTTTAGATCAACCTTTCACATATCCCTTTACTGTCTCTTAAGATACTTTCATGGTGACAAAAAACATACTCTTGTTCTAGATCCCTGAGGAATTACCACACTGACTTCCACAATGGTTGAACTAGTTTACAGTCCCACCACCAGTGTAAAAGTGTTCCTATTTCTCCACATCCTCTCCAGCACCTGTTGTTTCCTGACTTTTTAATGATCGCCATTCTAACTGGTGTGAGATGGTATCTTATTGCGGTTTTGATTTGCATTTCTCTGATGGCCAGTGATGATGAGCATTTTTTCATGTGTCTTTTGGCTGCATAAATGTCTTCTTCTGAGAAGTGTCTGTCCATATCCTTCGCCCACTTTTTGATGGGGTTGTTTGTCTTTTTCTTGTAAATCTGTTTGAGTTCATTGTAGATTCTGGATATTAGCCCTTTGTCAGATGAGTAGATTGCAAAAATTTTCTCCCATTCTGTATGTTGCCTGTTCACTCTGATGGTAGTTTCTTTTGCTGTGCAGAAGCTCTTTAGTTTAATTAGATCCCATTTATTTGACCCAGCAATCCCATTACTGGGTATATACCCAAAGGATTATAAATCATGCTGCTATAAAGACACATGCACACGTATGTTTATTGCGGCACTATTCACAATAGCAAAGACTTGGAACCAATCCAAATGTCCAACAATGATAGACTGGATTAAGAAAATGTGGCACATATACACCATGGAATACTATGCAGCCATAAAAAATGATGAGTTCACGTCCTTTGTATGGACATGGATGAGGCCGGAAACCATCATTCTCAGCAAACTATGGCAAGGACAAAAACAAACACCGCATGTTCTCACTCATAGGTGGGAATTGAACAAAGAGAACACATGGACACAGGAAGGAGAACATCACACACACCAGGGCCTGTTGTGGGGTGGGGGGAGCGGGGAGGGATAGTATTAGGAGATATACCTAATGTTAAATGACGAGTTAATGGGTGCAGCACACCAACATGGCACATGTATACATATGTAACTAACCTGCACGTTGTGTACATGTACCCTAAAACTTAAAGTATAATAATTTTAAAAATACTCTTAATGTCATTCCTTTCACTGTGTGTGTAACTCCTGTGGCAAGACTGTATATTTGTATATATGTATGTATGTATTTGTTTATTTAGTAGGCTGCTATTTGTAAAGGAAACATACTCATTAGTTGGTCTTTGCATACATAATGGTTCCCAAAACATGGACTCCATGGTTTGCTGTGAGTGAATGAAGAAAAAGCAGGCATGATTTCCCTCACCTTTGTCATTCTCTCCAGTTTCCTGTACATATGGTTGACTTACTCAGCAGTAAGTGTAACTTCTTTACACTGAAGAAAATTAGTCTTCCAAAGAATTAGTATGCTACTTCCCCCTTGTTCTGCAGTACTTAAAATCCTGTTTGGTAAATGAACTAATACACTTTGATATACAGAAGAGACCCTGGATTGCCATGAATGGAAATATTAGTAGTGATTAATTTCTGTCTCGGTGGGATAATGTGGCTTTTTTGCTTCTTATTCTTCTATAGTTTCCCATTTTTCTACAATGAGCATGTATTACTTTTATAAGTAGGAAAAATTGCTATTTTATTTTTATTTTTTAAGACAGAGTCTCACTCTGTCACCCAGGCTGGAGTGAAATGGTGCGATCTCAGCTCACTATAACCTCTGCCTCCCAAGTTCAAGCGATTCTCATGTCTCGACCTCCCAAGCAGATGAGACTACAGGCACAAGCTGGCCACAGCCAGCTAATTTTTGTATTTTTTAGTAGAGATGGGATTTCACCATGTTGGCCAGGCTGGTCTTGAACTCCTGACCTCAGGTGATCTGCCCATGGCCTTCCAAAGTGCTGGGATTACAGGTCTGAGCCACCACGCTCAGCCAAAAACTGCTATTTTAAAGTCTTTATTTTTCACTGGATGTCTTGTGAAGGTTTAGGTCACAGTCACCATTGAGAAAGTGGGTGGTTAACTGGCTCCAGTTCCTAAGACGAGTGGCAGCTGTAGGAAGTAGTATGGGAGGAATGGGGCAGGTAAGCTTATTTGAACTTTATCATTGTGAACTCTACTATGACTGAAGACATTGTGGGATTTGATCACAGTTAAACACAAGAGGACTGAGCCATCTAGTTTTTCTCTTTTTAATAAGCTGATTGAGAATTATGAAAGATACCTTAAGAAAAATTGGTTTCTATGAACTCTGTAAATGCAGAACTCAGCCTGAACTCCCAAGTTCTGTATCCGTGTATGTGTGTTTGTGTGCTTGTGTGTTGTGGTGTGTTTTAAATATCAAGTGGAGTTGTAGCAACTCAGGTAGGATATGGTTTATATTAATACATCTAATATGAATTGGAAGAGATTTAGGCAAATGATTTTTATTATGACAGTATAGGCTTATTGGAGATTTGGTGTTAATATACAGCTGGGAGTTAAGCCGTTCTACGTTTATATACCCATCTGGTGATATTTTAGGAAGAGCTGTGTCATATATTCTCTAGAGTTTAAGTGATTAGAGCTTGTTGGCTTTTGCTGTTTACTGCACACTTGTAGTGTTTTAAATGCTTCTGTGAATGGAGAACATCATTCAAAAAGGTGAGATTTCTGGGTTAAGACATTCGTTATTGTCTGCCCTTACTTTATTCTTTTAAAGAGTAAGATTAGGCTGAACGCCGTGGCTCATGTCTATAATCCCAGCACTTTGGGAGGCCAAGGTGGACAGATGAGATCAGGAGTTTGAGACCAGCGTGGCCAACATGGCAAAACCCCGTCTCTATTAAAAATACAAAAATTAGCCGGGCGTGGTGGTGGACGTCTGTAATCCCAGCTACTCAGGAGGCTGAGGCAGGAGAATCACTTGACCCCTGGAGGTGGAGGTTGCAGTGAGCCGAGATTTGTGCCACTGCCCTCCAGCCTGGGTGACAGAGGGATACTCTGTCTCAAAAAAAGAAAGTTGAAGAGCAGTTGAGGTAATAAATGTAGGTACTGTTAGGTTGGTACAAAATTAATGGTGGTTTTGGATTACGAATTTTAAATTATTATAACTAGGCCCAAACACATCTTTATCAAAATAGGAAACATTACAATCAACACATTTTTTGCCAATGAGAAATAAGTTTGTTTATTCCTGTAGCGTAAAAATCCATGCTTCGGGATTCGATGAACTCTTGGAAAGCATTTTCTGCATCCTGATGGTTGTGGAAGCATTTTCCCTGCAAAAAATTTTCTAGATGCTTGGAAAAGTGGTAGTCGGTTGGTGAGAGGTCAGTTCAATATGGTGAATGAGGCAAAACTTTGTAGCCCAATTCATTCAACTTTTGAAATGTTGGTTGTGCAACATGTTGTCGGGTGTTGTCGTGGAGAAGAACTGGACCCTTTCTGTGGACCAGTGCCAGCTGCAGGCCTCGCAGTTTTCGGTGCATCTCATCGATTTGCTGAGCATACTTCTCAGATGTATTGGTTTTACTATGATTCAGAAAGCTGTAGCGGATCAGACCAGGAGCAGACCACCAAACAGTGACCCTGACCTCTTTTTGATGAAAGTTTGGCTTCAGGAAGTGCTTTGGAGCATCTTCTCGGTCCAACCACTGAGCTGGTCATCACTGTTGTTGTATAAAATACACTTTTTGTCAAACGTCACAATCCAACTAAGAAATGGTTCGTCGTCGTTATGTAGAATAAGAGAAGACAACACTTCAAAACGACGATTTTTAAAATTTTTGGTCAGCTCATGAGGCACCCACTTATCAAGCTTTTTCACCTTTTGGCAGGGCGTGGTGGCTCACGCCTGTAATCCCAGTACTTTCGGAGGCTGAGGCGGGCAGATCACTTGAGGCCAGGAGTTCACGACCAGCCTGGCCAACATGGTGAAACCCCAGCTCTACTAAAAATACAAAAAGTAATCGGGTGTGGTGGTGGGTGCCTGTAATCCCAGCAACTAGGGAGGCTGAGGCACGAGAATCACTTTAACCTGGGAAGTAGAGGTTACAGTGAGCCCAGATGGTGCCACTGCATTCCAGCCTAGGTGATAGAGTGAGACTCCATCTCAAAAAAAAAAAAAAAAAAAAAAAAAGCTTTTGCACCTTTCCAACTTGCTTAAATTGCCAAACAAGCGTAGAATGGTTGACATTGAGTTCTTCGGCAATTTCTCGTGTAGTTGTAAGAGGATCAGCTTCGATGATTGCTCTCAATTGGTCAGTGCCAACTTCTTCTGGCCGGCTACTACACTCCTCATCTTCAAGGCTCTCGTCTCCTTTGCAACACTTCTTGAACCACCATTGCACAGTTCCTGGGCCAAGTGTGTAGTTGATGTTGCGAGTTGTCTCCACTGCTTTGCGACCCATTTTGAACTCAAGAAAATCGCTTGAATTTGCTTTTTTTTATAATATAATTTCCACTGTCTAAAAGAATAAAACAGCAAATAATATGTTATTAGCAAAAAAGGTGAGAAATGTGCATTAAAATGGTATATAAATAACCACATATATTTAAGAATGTATTCCAGTATCAAATAGCAAGTTTCAACAATACGAAAACTGCAACTACATTTGCACCAACCTAATATAATTTTTTTTTAGTTAGAAATTTTATAGTACAGAATAACAGGTTTATCACACACACACACACACACACACACACACACACACATCCTGTACTGAATCTACAAAGCCTGTCTCTGAATTCCAAAATCTCGACTTTTTTAGAGCAAAGTTTAAATATTTCAAAAATTTAGAAAAATATGGAGAATAATTTAACAAACACCAGGTACTAATTCAGTAGATTTTTTTTCTTTTTTCCTTTCCTTTTTTTTTTTTTTTTTTGAGATGGAGTCTCGCTCTGTCGCTCAGGCTGGAGTGCACTGGTGCAATTTCAGCTCACTGCAACCTCTGCCTCCTGGGTTCAAGTGATTCTCCTGTCTCAGCCTCCTGAGTAGCTGGGATTACAGGCACACGCCACCACACCCAGCTAATTTTTGTATTTTTAGTAGAGACTGGGTTTCACCATGTTGGCCAGGATGGTCTCTTATCTCTTCACTTCGTGATCTGCCCACCTTGGCCTCCCAAAGTGTTGGTATTACAGGCGTGAGCCACCGCACCCAGCCCATTCAGTAGATTTCATAGATGCTGACATCTTATCAGATTTGCTTCAAAAGTGTATTTATATATGTTTTTATTTATTATTTTTGAAATGGGGTCTCACTCTGTTGCCTAGCCTGGTGTATAGTGGTAAAATCCCTGCTCACTGCAACCGCCACCTCCCAAGTTCAAGCAATTCTCGTGCCTTGGCCTTTTGAGTAGCTGGGATTATAGGAGCTTGTCACTACTCCCGGCTAATTTTTGTATTTTTAGTAGAGACGGGGTTTCACTATGTTGTCCAGGCTGGTCTCCAACCGACCTCAAGTGATCTGCCCGTCTTGGCCCCCTAAAATACTGGGATTACAGGGGTGAGCCACTGTGCCTGGCCTATATTTGTTTTTAAAAATAAAATATGCATACGGTTGGAGTCCCTTTTGTCATCCTCTTAGATCCTATTTTCTTATGCAGAAGTTATTTATCTTTTTAGCTCATGCACTTATATTCTTCCTACAAATATCTACATATATTTAACATGTAGTACTATTGTGTTTCAAATTTATGTGATATTTTGGTACATACATTCTGTAATTGGAAAGTTACATTTATTTATGCTGATATATGTGTATTATTAGTAGTATTATTATTATGATTATTTTGAAACAGAGTCCTACTCTGTCACCCAGGTTGTAGAGCAGTGGCACAATCTTGGCTCACGGCAACCTCCATCTCCCAGTTTCAAGTGATTCTCGAGCCTCAGCCTCCCGAGTAGCTGGGATTACAAGTGTGAGCCACTGCACCTGCCTTACTTCATTAATTTTAATAGCTGTGTAGTATTCGGTCATATGAATGAATAGTATGCAATTTTAGTTCTTTATTGATAGTTGTTTTCAACAAATATACAAATGTAAAATTTTTCCTCAAATTGGGTCAAGCTATATATATTGTTCTAAATTAGCTCTGTTTCTCGCAATAATAATAGTGTGCAGGTTTGTTACATGGGTATATTGCATGAGGTTTGGGGTACAATTGATCCCATCACCCAGGTAGTAAGCATAGCACCCAGCACGTAGTTTTGTTTAAGTTTTTTGAGACAAGGTAGGTCTCTGTCCCCCAGGCTGGATTGCAATATTGCAATCACTGGTCACTGCAGTTTTGACCTCTTGGGCTCAGCCGATCCTCCCAGCTCAGCCTCCGGGGTAGCTGGGACTACAGTGGTGGGCCACCATACCCTGCTATTTTTTGTATTTTTTTGTAGAGACTGGGTTTCGCCCTGTTACCCAGGCTGGTCTCGAACTCCTGGACTCAAGCAATCCACCCACCTTGGCCTCCCAAAGTGCTGGGATTATAGGCGTGAGCTACTGTACCCAGCTGCCAGTAGGCAGTTTTGAGCTTTCGCCCCTTCCCATCCTCTCCTCTCTGTTAGTTCCCTGTATCTATTGTTCCCATGTTTATGTCCATGTTTACCCAATGTTTAGCTTAGGATGATGATCTCCAGCTGCATCATGTTGCTGCAAAGGATATGATTTTGTTCTTTTTTATGGCTGCAGTGAACCTTTGGGTAAAGAAAATTTACAAAAATATCTCACATCAGTGTTTTTTTAATCAAAGTAAGTAGTAGTAATCCATAGTTCAGATCTACTTTGTAAGTGAGACACAAATAAAGACAGTAGTTACATTACACATTTTATAACATTACCTTGATGTGGCAAATTTTTCTTGTTTTGTTTTTGTTTTACATGAGTTAATTTGGATGAAACTTTCTTGAATTACTTACTTTTATAGCATTTACCTCCAGTGGGGTTGAGATGAGGAGCCTTCAATCCAACAAAGTTGTATACATGCATTCATGGAGATGACACTTAGGTTATTTAATCAGGAAACACTCCTGCTTGTCCACATGTAGATGCTACACGTGGAGTTAGTCCTATTCTTTGGAAGTTTCACTATGTTGCCCACACTGGTCTTGAACTCCTGAGCTCCAGTGATCCTCCCACCTTGGCCTCCCAGAGTGCTGGGGTTATAGATGTGAGCCACTGTGCCCAGCCAGAAATGTGATTTTAATTCCATAATATATGTTACTGTGAATACAGTATATGTTTATTCCATAAGTAGCAAATTGACTCCTTTAACAGTTTTAGTAGTTTTCCAGTTGTTTTGTCTTTAGTTTCCCAGGCAAATAATGCTATTGTCTTCAATCACAGTATTAATTAGTTCATCCCATTCTTCATATTGATCATTTTTTTGGATATGAAATAATACAGACTACTGTAATAATAAAAAGATGGAAAGCCTCACCAATTTGCATGTCATCCTTGTGCAGGGACCACGCTAATGTTCTCTGTATTGTTCCAATTTTAGTATATTTGCTGCCGAAGCGAGCACTCCATTTCTGTAAAGCTTAAAAAACAGACAAAACTAACAGATGGGAATGGAATCAGAATAATGGTTATCTTTGGTGATGAGGACAAGGGAGATTGTAGGTGTGCTGGTAATGTTCTCTGTCTTGATCTGGGTCATGATTTCATGGTTGTGTTCAGTTTATGAGAATCATTGAATAGTAGACTTAGGAAGTGTGCACTTCTTTGTACATGTATTATATACCTCAGTTAAAAACTTTTGCCTCTCACAAAATTTTAAAGAACATAATCTGCTTAGTTTGTCACCTTTTAGCTTTTAATGTAACTTTTCCACTACTTCTCTTCATATGTGAATACAAGTGTATGTATTCATATGTGAATACAAGTGAATACTAGTGTATTAGGTAATAAGCCACTTAACCTTTCTATTATGATATAAAACATACAGAAGAGTGCACAAATCAAATGTATAGCTTAATGAAATTTTTAAATTATTAAATTGGAGGTTTTGGGGGGTGCATTATACCCGTATCTTTGTTAGGAGGGAAGGAATTCATGGAGGGCTAAAAATTTTGGAGAGGACAAAGTTTTAAGGAGTCTCAATACCAAATCCTCATCTTGGCTCTGCCTTCAAGTTACTGTTTCTTTGGATAAGTCATTTAACTTATTTATAGTTCACTTTTTTATATATAAGAGGTATAATACTTAACCTTTCTTTTGCAAACTGAATTAGGTAGGTGCAATTCAGGTAAAATAATAGGAATATAGAGTAGTATTACTAGATAGGTCTTTATTTAGGCCATTGAATTTAGGCCACTTACCTTACAGGGCAGAATTGTGGTATGCAAAGACTACACAGCTGGTGATTATTGGTGTCATTCATTTATGTTAGGTTGGTATTGAGACTTAGTTAACTATGCCAGGCATTACCCTGTGATTTATTATAATACATGTGTTAACTCATGTAATAGTCTAGGATTATTCCTAGAGGTAGGTAAAATTATCCCAATTTTACTGATGATACAATCGATGGAAAATTAGGTTAAATAACTTGCCTAGGTGGGTTGAGTTCTTGAGCCTGTGCTTTAAAAAAAATTTTTTTTTTGAGAAAGGGTCCCACTCTATCACCCAGAGTGGAGTGAGTGGCGTGATCTTGGCTCACTGCAGCCTCTGTCTCTAAGGCTCAAGCCATCCTCCTGCCTCATCCCCTGAAGTAGCTGGGACTACAGGTATGGGCCACGTTTTAATGTATTTTATAGAGACGGGGTTTTGCCACATTTCCCAGACTGGTCTCAAACTGCTGGACTCAAGCGATCTGCCTTGGCCTCCCAAAATGCTAGGATTACAGGTGTGAGCCACTGCATCCAGCCTAAGCCTGTGCTCTTTTTTTGTTATACTGCCTAGTTATGTGAAAATACTTAAAGACTTTTAGGCAAATGTTAAGATTTTATAATAATCTGTTAGAGAGTTTTTGAAGTAAAAATTTTGGTATTTTGAACCAAAATTAGGAGAAGAGTCTCATTGTTTTGACCATCATGATTCTGGAAAAGATGGATGTTAATATTTATTACTTGGGCTTTATTCCCTTCTTAACAAAGCTAATTTTCTCCTAAAATGACTTGGTTGCAAGCACTAGGTAGTTTTCTTTAAGAATATATGTATATTTTAATCTTAAAGGATTTTGTGACTAATTTACAAATATTGTTTAATTTTTAGGCAAAATGTTAATGGAAGGGAGTTTTCAAACTTGGAGGCAGATCAGACCAAGGTTTAGTGTTCTTGCCTCAGTGGTTTAAGCAGCATCTATTTGGTCTTAGTATAAGAGTAATAATTATGATTCTATCATATGTATGGTTGAAAATTATCTTTATTAAGGTGTATTTGAATATGGTTCTGTAAGACTGGGAAACACATCTAGTTGTGCAACCACCATGATGATCAAGATATAGAGTTAGTTTCTCAAAAAATTTCCTCATGCCCCTTTCCATAGTCAGCCCATTTCCTTACCTCTAGTCTCTGGCCACCACTGATCTGTTTTTTCCTCTGTCTTGTCTTTTTTTTTTTTCTTTTCAGAATTCCGTGTAAACAAAATCACGCAGTATTTAGCCTTTTTGTTTTAATTTTTGTTTGTTTAATAGAAATGGGAGGCCTTGTTATATTGCCTATGCTGGCCTCAAGCTCCTGGTCTCAAGGGATCCCCCTGCTTGACTCAGTATGTGGCTTCTTGAGACGGACGTCTTTTATTTAACCTAATGTATTTTGAGATTCATCCATGTTTTTATGTATCAGTAATTACTTTCTGTTGCTTAGTAGCATTGCGTTGTATGGATGTACAACAGGTTCTGTATTCATTCCCCAGTTCATTTGGGTTGTTTCCAGTTTTTGGTAATTACGAATAAAACTGCCATAAAAGCATTCATGCATACATACATACACACATGTGCCCTCGTATTTTCTTATGGTTTAAAAAGATATGGTGCCTAGAACTTTTATAACTTTACTACAGAACCTGAAAAAGCTGATGATTTTCACAGAACATTGTAAATTGCTTAGTAAACTTCATCCCCCAAAAAGCCCACTCTGGAATGAGAATAATCTGTTTGTATAAATAATCTTGTGGTATAAACTGTAAGTCATTAGAATTTTTTAAATTAAAGAAGTACATACACATATTTATTTAATGGGTAAATTTATATATAAAACTCCTTAGTGCATAGTTTTATATTTTATGTTTTTAGTAGCTTTTAAATCGTGAATTATTGACTTTTTTGTTCCTCTAAGTAGTAGAATGGTTATATAATTGGTTATGAAAGTTTTTGTTTTTTTTTTGACAGGGTCTGGCTATGTCGTCCAGGCTGGAGTGCAGTGGCGTGATCTCGGCTCACTGTAACCTCTGCCTTCTGGGCTTAAGCTATCCTCAACTTCAGCCTCCTGAGTAGGTGGGACTACAGGCATGTGCCACCACACCTGGCTAATTTTTGTAAACATGGGGTTTTATCTTGTTGCCCAGGCTGGTCTCAAACTCCTGAGCTCAAATGATCAGCCCACTTCAGTCTCCCAAAAGGCTGGGATTACAGGTGTGAGCCACCATGCCCACCCAAAAACTCTTATAAATTTGAGATGAAAAATACACGGAACATGATTAATAGCAGATTAAACATTGCCAAATACAAGACATAGCAATAAAAACTATCCAAAAGGAAATAGAGTAAAAGGATTTTAAGAAACTAAACTGTAGAACACCTTCAAGCAGCCAATAATACATGTAATTTGAGTCCTAGAAGGACTGAAAAGAGGAGGGACAGAAAAAATAATACAAAAAAATGGCCAAAATGTTTTCAAATTTGATATAAACTATAAATCTCTTATCCAAGAAACTCAGTAAAGCCCACCTATAAGAAATATGAAGAACTCCACAAAGGTTCATAGTAATCAAAGTATTGAACCCTAGTGATACAGACATAGAGGGATGGGACACACCATACATAAAGATTAACAAAGGATGCTGCCAGAGTTCTCATCACAGATACCAGAATCTGGGAGGATATAGAAAAAATATTTTAAATTCTAAAAGAGGACATACTGTTAACTCTGAATTCTGTAACCAGTGTAAATAACTTTCCAAAATGAAGGGGAAATAAAGATATATCCAGGCAGAAAAAAACTGTAAGAACGTATCACCAACAGACCTGCTGCACAGGAAATAAAATAGGAACTCCTCAGGCAGAAGAAAGATGATATCAGATGGAAATATTGATCTGTAATAAAGGATGAAGAGCTCTGGAAAGTAACTGTATAGGAAGATGTATAAGACCCCTCCATTAAAAAATCTTGAAATAATAATTGAATTTTATACAGAAATAACAACAGTGTTTTGTGTAGTTTGTAATTTATGTGTAAGTGAAATGCAGGACAACAATAGCGAAAGGCCAGGAAAGGAAAAATGAAAGCATGTTACTGGAAGGTTCTTACACCACACATGAAGTAAGATAACATGTGAAAGTAGGCTGCAGTAACTTAGAGTTGTAAAGCAACCACTGAAATAACAAAACAAAAAGTTTTGTTATCATATAAGCCAACAAAGAAGATGAGATGGAATAACAACAACAACAACAAAATCCAAAACAGGGCACTAAACAGGAAAGGGGAGCAAAGAACAGATGGATTGAGTAAAAGATGAATAACAAGATCACAGGTGTAACATAACCATTTCAAAAATCTTGTTAAATGTTCTAAGCATCCCAATTAAAAGGAGAGATTGTCAGCTTTGATGAAAAAAATGAAGACCCAAGTACATGCTGCCTGTGAGAAAGACATTTTAAATGTAAAGATACAAACATATTAAAAGTAAAAGATTGAAAAAGAGTTACCATGAATCAAATGAAAGCTGGAGTGGCTATATTCATATCAGATAAAGTAGACATCAGATAAGAGAATATCAGGGATGAAGAATGTCGTTTTATAAGGAGAACAGGGTCCGCTTCTCAGGAGGACGTGATAATTCTAAGAATAACAAGCACTACGTATGTCATCACAGAGCTTCAACACAAACGAAACAAACACCAATAGAACTCAAAAGAGAAATAGTTGTCTATTTCTCCACAGTTATAGTTGGGGATTACAATACTCACTATCAATAATTAGTAGAACAAGTAGAAAAAAAATCAGTGAAGATACAGCAGACTTAAAAAAATAAAACTATCAAATAACTTGATTTTATTGATATTTATAAATCAGTCCACCTGACAGTCACATAATATAAACTCTTCTCAAGCAAACACAGAATATTTATCAAGATAGAATACATTCTGTGCCAGAAAGCAAGTCTCAGAATATTTGGAGTGATTTAAGTCCTATGAAGTATGTTCTTGGACCACATTGGAAATAAATTAGAAGTTAATAATAATAACTTTTCTGGAAAAACGTCAAGTATTAAGATGATAAATTACACATGTCTACATATTGCAAGGGCTAAAGAAGATTTCAAAAGAGAAACCAATGCATTTTCAGCTAAGTGAGAGTGAAAACAATATTTCAAAATGTGTGGAATGCTGATAAGGCAATATTTATGTGTAAAATTATGGGATTAAACACTATAGTAGAAAAGAGAATAGATTTTAGATTAATTAACTACCCCAGCTTCTGCCTTAATAATTGGAAAAACAAGAGCAAATTAAACACAAAAAACAATTTTGGAAATACTAGAGATCAGAGTGAACATCAATAAAACAAAAAAAAAATAGAGAAAAATCTATGAAACCAAATATTTATAAACTTCCAGCAGGCTGATCATCAAAACAAAAAAGAGACAAATTCCTAATATCAGGTATGAAAGAAACTATATCAGCACAGATTTTGTAAAAATTAAAAATGGAGTAAGGGAATACTGTGTACAGCATTACCTAATAAATTTTGTAACTGAGATGAAATGAGAATTTTTTTTGAAAGATACAAATTGCTATAGCTCACTCAAGAAGAATCAGATAATTGAATAACTCTATATTTATTGAAGTAATTGAATTTTAATTAAATGCTCATCCTACAAAGGAAACTCTAACCCCAGATTGCTTCTCTGAAGTTTTTTGTTCAAACCTCTAAGGAAGAAATATTACCAATTATACTTAAACTCTTTCAGAAAATTGAAGAGTAGGAACTGGTTACCAACTTATTTTATAAGGCTAGTATCACCTTGATACCAAAGCTAGACTAAGATATTACAAAAAAACTATAAACAAATATTCTTTTTGAATTTAGATATAAAAGTTCTTTACAAAATGTTAGCAAATCAGTTCCAACAATACATAAAAATTATATTGTACCGTGGACAAATATAATGTATCTCAGAAAAGTTGGTTGGTTGAACATCCTCAAATCAATCAATGTATTGCACCATATTAATAAATGATCATGTCAATAGATGCAGTAAATACATTTGATGAAGTCATATATTTACATTTGGAACATTTAGAAGGGAGCTTCCTCATCCTGATAAAAGGCATCTGTGAAAAATCCTACAGCTAACATCATTGTTAGTAACGAAACACTCAATGCTTTCTTGTTTGTCTTATCAGGAACAAGATGGGATGTTTGCTCTCACCACGCTTACATTTAACATTGTTGTGGAAATCCTAGCCAGCCAAGAAGCTGAGATAGAATACGTCCAGGATAGAAAGAAAGAAGCAAAACTGCACACAGACAAAATGAACATCTATGTAGAAAATTCAATATAAAATACAAAAAAAGCTATTAGAACTAATAAATGAGTTTAGCAAGGTTGCAGGATACATGAACAATATACAAAAACCAATTGCATTTTATACTAGCAACAAATAACCAGAAATTGGAATTTTAAAAGCAATGCCATTTAAAGTAGCATCAAAATATATTAAACTCTTAGGAATAAATCTGACAAAAGATGTGCATGACCTGTACACTGAAAACTGTGGAATACTGAGAAACATTAAAGATAACCCAAATACATGGAGAGATACACTGTCTTCATGCCCTGGAAACCAATATTTAGAACATAAATGTTCCCCAAATTGATAGATAGTTTCAACACAATCCTAGTCAAAATTCTAGCAGGATTTTAATATTTTTTGGTAGATATTGACAAGCTGATTCTGAAATTCATAAGAAAATGCAAACGATCTAGAAGAGCCAAAATAACTGAAAAAAGAACAAATTTGATAAATTAACTTTACCTGATTTCAACAATAAAACTATAATATATATGATATGAAATTCAGAACTGTATATACAGATACAAAAATATTTTGTGTATATCCATCTCTATATCTATGTGTCTGTTTATACATTTGCTGATATATATTGCAGGATCCTCTATTCTGTTGCTTTAATATATACAGTATTTCCAACAAGCTGCAAAAGCTGTCAACAAATTGTGCTAGAACCTCAGATAACCATATGCAAAAAAATCAACTTTTATCTATATTTCTTAGCATATATGAGAGTTAATTCAAAATAGGTCATGTAACTAAATGTAAACCTAAAACTAGGAAGTGCCTAAAAGTAAACAATGAAGAAAATCTTTCTGATTTTGGATAAGGCAAACAATTCTTTGATACAACATCAAAGCACAATGTATAAAACTTTTAAAAATGTGATAAAAGTTTGGGGCCAGCCACGTTGATTCATGCCTGTAATCCCCACACTTTGGAAGGCAGAAGCAGGTGGATCACAAGGTCAAGAGATTGAGACCATCCTGACCAACATGGTGAAACCCCTTCTCTACTAAAAATACTAAAATTAGCTGGGCGTGCTGGCTATACGAGCTGGGACCTGTAGTCCCAGCTACTCGGGAGGCTGAGGCAGGAGAATCCCTCGAACCTGGGAGGCGGAGGTTGCAGTGAGCCGAGATCGCACCACTGCACTCCAGCCTGGCGACAGAGTGAGACTCTGTCTCAAAATAAAAATAAAAATAAAAAATTGATAAAATTAAAAATTTCTGTTCTTTGAAATTTACTGCTAAGAGAAGTAAACAAGTCACAGATTTGGAGAAAATATTTGCAAATCAGATATGACAAAAAAACCTTGTATCCAGAATGTATGAAGAATTTTAAAAACTCAATAATAAGAAAATAAATAACCCAAATTTTATTTTTTTCAGATGGAGTCTTGCTCTGCTGCCTAGGCTGGTGTGGAATGGCACAATCTCAGCTCACTGTGACCTCAGCTTCCCAGATTCAAGCGATTCTCCCCCCTCAGCCTCCCAATCCCCCACTCCCACCCCTGCGAGTAGCTGGGATTACAGGCACCCGCCATCATGCCTGGCTAATTTTTGTATTTTTGTAGAGACGAGGTTTCACCATGTTGGCCAGGCTGGTCTTGAACTGACCTCAGGTGATCCACCCACCTTGGCCTCCCAAGTGGTGAAATAACAGGTGTGAGCCACCGCTCCCCAACTCAACCCAAATTTTTAAAATGGGCGGAGTATTTGAACAGGTTCCTCAACAAAGAAGATACATGTGGCAAATAAGCGCACAAATGAATGCTCCACACCACTAGTAATTAAGGGAATTCAATTACTACTTACTGGAGGCTAAGAGACCAGTTAGGGGGTTACGGGAGAAATTGTGAATTAAAATTATGTATGATAGTAGCGGTGGGGATGGAGAGGAGAGGATATGAGGAATATTGAGGAGATAAAATTGCAAAAGCTTCACACTTGGTTGGAAGTGGAAGCTGACATGTAAGAGAATCAGCAATGATTCTCAGGTTTCCAACTTGAGCAAAGGGGCGGAGGCCACTGATAGACTCTGAGGTCATAAAACACAAGGTGGAGCAGATCTAGGCGGGTATGGAGGAAGAGATGTGACCATTGAAGTATTTTCTTTGTTGTTGTGTTGTTGGAATATTTCAAGTCAAATCCCTGACATCATGTTGTTCCATCTCTACACATTTGAACATGTATCACTAAAAGTAGGGACACTTTCTCCCATAATCACATTGCTGTGATCGCTCCTGAAGATGTACTCAATGATTCTGATTATCATCCCATACATAGTCCACAGTCATACATACTTGATTATCACAAGTATTTCTCTTTTTGCAGTCTGTCTATTGGAATCAGAATCCTGACAAGGTCCACCCTGCACACCACTTTCTCACAAAGGTCCTCTCATCCTGAGCAGTCCTCCCTGCCACTGATTTGTTGTCCTTCATAATGTCCCACAATCTGCACCTGTCTTTGTTCTCCCTCATGATACTGCTTCACTTCTATGCCCTGAATTTCCTATAATGGGGAAGGAGCTCTAAAGCCTGGTTGTAGGAACACTTCATGAACAGTACTGTGCATGGCACACAATCTCTAGCCATCCCACTTGTCACGCTAAAATCGATGACTCGCTTCTGGTAGTGTCAGCCTGACTCTTTGGACATGCTGAGTAAGCAGAGCGAGAAAGGAAGAGGGCTTCGACCAGAGGAAGAGGAGCAGAGAAAACAGGGAAGGAGAATTCAGGGAAGTGGGGAAAATCGAGGGAGCAGCAGCGTGGGGACTGAAGAAAGAAGGGTCAGGTGTCGCTGGGCAGCCAAGAAGAGACAAACAGGTCAGATGGTTTTCACAACTGATGGCTGATAACTTGTATGAGAGCAGCTTTAATGGAGTGATTAAGGTGTAAGTCAGATTGCCCTGTGATGGAGGTGTGAATAGGGGTGGGAAGTGGAGGGCAAGGAATATCAATAACAATTTCAGGAATTTGGCTGTAAGACAAGGGAAAAAGATGGGAGACGTGAGCATAGGAAGAGGGATGTTGAAAAAAGAGGTTGTGTTTATTCTGTGGCTCTTTTGATGGGAGACACATTCATGCTGGGAGGTTGAATATTTAGGAACCATAAGGAACTATTACTAACAAAGAAAGTTCCAAAAACATTCCTGGTTGGAAGGTTTCACTGTTTTGTTCACTAATTTCATATATTTTTCTAACTCTCTACAATTGCTTTTTGTTGTGAGCTCAACTGGTCTAGGAGACACAGATTTTGAAACGTGATGAAATTATTCAATAAAGCTGGTGTTAGATGCAGGTGTTAGAATGCATTTTTGTCAGACTTGGACCATATGAATTGAAGTTACTCTATCATCTGACTGATGGGCATCACTTGTTTTTGTCTATTTATTTGAACTGTATATATTCCAAAAATTTTTTGATGTAGCTGCTATATGATAAGAATATTGTAATGGGATTCTCCTGGGTTTCTAATCCAAAGTTTGTTTTTTTTAGAAAAATAAATTTGGACTTAGCAGATAAAAATCATGAATACTATATAACGCCATTTGTTAGACATTTTTGAAATGATAAAATTTTAGAAATGGAGGTTACTGATTGCCAGGGGTTAGGAAAGCGGAAGGAGGTGGGAGGGAGGGGGAGTGATTATAAAAGGGCTCTTGAGGGACCCACTGTGGTGCTGGAGCCATTCAGTATATTGACTAGTGGTGGATACATGAATTCACACAGGTGGTAGAATTATACAGACATTAATACACACACAGTGAAAGTAAAACTAGGAAAATCTGCCTAAGGTAAGTAGATGGAGTTACTGTCAATGTCCTTGTTTTGCAAAACATCACCATTGTGAGATCCTACTGAGAATCTGAAACACAGCCTTGGTTATATGCTTTTTTCTTTTTTTACCCTGTAAAAATGTTCCTTTTACCCTGTAAAGTGTTCCTTTTTATACTGGTAAGTATAAAAGGAACAAATTATACTGGTAAGTAAAAATTACTGATAAAGTAACTTTAAACTGAATATGGGAAATAACTGCTGTGCTGTATGGTATAAATAAATAATATATTTATCTATAACAATACTACTTTATATAATGGAACTAGATGTCACAAATGGCTCTAGTACTAGTAATGCAATTAATCAATATAATGTTTTGTAGGGTTTTGTTTTTTATACTCTTTGTTAAGCCTCCAAACTAGCAAGTACCCATTACAGTAAATGTACAATGGATTATTTCTGTTTCCGCGTTTCAGTCATTAACTCATTAGTTGCATAATCTTAAGGTCAAATTACCTTGTTGAAGGGGACAGTCTGGATCCATTCCGTGGAGCTCACATCAAAAACGTCTGCTGCATTTTCACTGTGCACTGAGAGGCACGGGGCATTGTAACCTGGGAGGAGCAAAGACGGTAACAGCAAACATGGGCTCCGTGATACCTTTTTCAGTGAATTTTTGATGAGATAATTATAGATTCACATGTAGTTGTAAAAATAATACAGAGAGATCCCTTGTACACTCTGCCCAGATTCAATTCACAACAAAATAAAACTTCAGTGTCTGGATTACAAATAATTTAAAACATAGCTAAAAATGTAAAAGTAAAAACCTGCCGTTTTGCTAAGACCAGACCATCAAATATTTAAGAGCATTTAACTTCCAGGACTTGTGGAGTATGCATGACATGAGCCACCAAGAAGAAGTTTTTAAAGGAAGAGTTAAAATAAGTGAAATTTTTTTCTACCTTCATCAGTATAAGCAGTGGAAAACACTTTTGAAAGGGCTGTCCCACCACATAAAACGTTACATTTGTGCTTTTCCAGCATTCTTTTTTTTGTTTGGTTGTATGTTTTTATTTTTTATTATACTTTAAGTTTTAGGGTACATGTGCACAACGTGCAGGTTTGTTACATGTGTATACATGTGCCATGTTGGTGTGCTCCACCCATTAACTCATCATTTAACATTAGGCATATCTCCTAATGCTATCCCTCCCCCCTCCCCCCACCCCACAACAGGCCCCAGTGTGTGATGTTCCCCTTCCTGTGTCCATGTGTTCTCATTGTTCAGTTCCCACCTATGAGTGAGAACATGCGGTGTTTGGTTTTTTGTCCTTTCGATAGTTTGCTGAGAATGATGGTTTCCAGCTTCATCCATGTCCCTGCAAGGGACATGAACTCATCATTTTCTATGGCTGCATAGTATTCCATGGTGTATATGTGCCACATTTTCTTAATCCAGTTTATCATTGTTGGACATTTGGGTTAGTTCCAAGTCTTTGCTACTGTGAATAGTGCCGCAATAAACATACGTGTGCATGTGTCTTTATAGCAGCATGATTTATAATCCTTTGGGTACATACCCAGCAATGGGATGGCTGAGTCAAATGGTATTTCTAGTTCTAGATCCCTGAGGAATCGCCACACTGACTTCCACAATGGTTGAACTAGTTTACAGTCCCACCAACAGTGTAAAAGTGTTCCTATTTCTCCACATCCTCTCTAGCACTTGTTGTTTCCTGACTTTTTAATGATCACCATTCTAACTGGTGTGAGATGGTATCTCATTGCGGTTTTGATTTGCATTTCTCTGATGGCCAGTGATGATGAGCATTTTTTCATGTGTCTTTTGGCTGCATAAATGTCTTCTTTTGAGAAGTGTCTGTTCATGTCCTTCACCCACTTTTTGATGGGGTTGTTTTTTTCTTGTAAATTTGTTTGAGTTCATTATAGATTCTGGGTATTAGCCCTTTGTCAGATGAGTAGATTGCAAAAATTTTTCTCATTCTGTATGTTGCCTGTTCACTCTGATGGTAGTTTCTTTTGCTGTGCAGAAGCTCTTTAGTTTAATTAGATCCCATTTGTCAATTTTGGCTTTTGTTGCCATTGCTTTTGGTGTTTTAGACATGCAGCCCTTGCCCATGCCTATGTCCTGAATGGTATTGCCTAGGTTTTCTTCTAGGGTTTTTATGGTTTTAGGTCTAACATGTAAGTCTTTAATCCATCTTGAATTAATTTTTGTATAAGGTGTAAGGAAGGGGTCCAGTTTCAGCTTTCTACATATGGCTAGCCAGTTTTCCCAGCACCATTTATTAAATCGGGAATCCTTTCCTCATTTCTTGTTTTTGTCAGGTTTGTCAAAGATCAGATGGTTATAGATGTGTGGTATTATTTCTGAGGGCTCTGTTCTGTTCCATTGGTCTATATCTCTGTTTTGGTACCAGGCGCCTCCGCAACCTCCCAGGAGCTCTGACCAAGGTGCCTCACTGGGGTGGGGAACTTGCCTCACCTGGGGCCATTTCATAATTCTGAATCATGTGTGATAACAGAGAACTGGAAGACAAGCCTCCAGCACCTCCCGTGCGAATGAGCAGGACCATCTTTAGCACTGGGGGCAAAGACCCTTTGTCAGCCAATCACAGTTTGAAACCTTTGCCTTCTGTTCCAGAGGAGAAAAAGCCCAGGCATAAAATCATCTCCATATTCTCAGGCACAGAGAAAGGAAGTAAAAAGAAAGAAAAGGAACGGCCAGAAATTTCTCCTCCATCTGATTTTGAACACACCATCCATGTTGGCTTTGATGCTGTTACTGGAGAATTCACTGGCATGCCAGAACACTGGGCTCGATTACTACAGACCTCAAATATCACCAAACTAGAGCAAAAGAAGAATCCTCAGGCTGTGCTGGATGTCTACGACTCCAACACAGTGAAGCAGAAGTATCTGAGTTTTACTCCTCCTGAGAAAGATGGCTTCCCTTCTGGAACACCAGCACTGAATGCCGAGGGAACAGAAGCACCTGCAGTAGTGACAGAGGAGGAGGACGATGATGAAGAGACTGCCCCTCCCATTATTGCCCCACCACCGGATCATATGAAATCAATTTACACACGGTCTGTAATTGACCCTGTTCCTGCACCAGTTGGTGATTCAAATGTTGATGGTGGTGCCAAGTCTTTAGACAAACAGAAAAAGAAGACTAAGATGACAGATGAAGAGATTATGGAGAAACTAAGAACTATTGTGAGCATAGGTGACCCTAAGAAAAAAATATACAAGATATGAAAAAATTGGACAAGGGGCTTCTGGTACAGTTTTCACTGCTACTGACGTTGCACTGGGACAGAAGGTTGCTATCAAACAAATTAATTTACAGAAACAGCCAAAGAAGGAATTGATCATTAATGAGATTCTGGTAATGAAAGAATTAAAAAATCCCAACATAGTTAACTTCTTGGACAGTTACCTGGTAGGAGATGAATTGTTTGTGGTCGTGGAATACCTTGCTAGGGGGTCACTCACTGATGTGGTAACAGAAACCTGCATGGATGAAGCACAGATTGCCGCTGTATGCAGAGAGAGTTTACAGGCATTGGAGTTTTTACATGCTAATCAAGTGATCCACAGAGACATCAAAAGTGACAGTGTACTTTTGGGAATGGAAGGATCGGTTAAGCTCACTGACTTTGGTTTCTGTGCCCAGATCACCCCTGAGCAGAGCAAACGCAGTACCGTGGTCAGAACGCCATACTGGATGGCACCAGAAGTGGTTACACGGAAGGCTTATGGCCCTAAAGTCAATGTATGGTCTCTGGGTATCATGGCTACTGAGATGGTAGAAGGAGAGCCTCCATACCTCAATGAAAATCCCTTGAGGGCCTTGTGCCTAATAGCAACTAATGGAATCCCAGAACTTCAGAATCCAGAGACACTTTCCCCAATATTTCGGGATTTCTTAAATCGATGTTTGGAAACAGATGTGGAAAAAAGGGGTTCAGCCAAAGAATTATTACAGCATCTTTTCCTGAAACTAGCCAAACTGTTATCTAGCTTGACACCACTGATCATGGCAGCTAAAGAAGCAATGAAGAGTAACCGTTAACATCACTGCTGTGGCCTCATATTCTTTTTTCCATTTTCTACAAGAAGCCTTTTAGTATATGAAAATTATTACTCTTTTGGGGGTTTAAAGAAATGGTCTGCATAACCTGAATGAAAGAAGCAAATGACTATTCTCTGAAGACAACCAAGAGAAAATTGCAAAAAGAAAAGTATGACTTTTATATGAACCCCTTCTTTAGGGTCCAAAAGGAATTGTGGACTGAATCACTAGCCTTAGGTCTTTCAGCAAACCGCCTATCAGGGCCATTTATCATATGTGAGATTTGCATTTTACTTTGCTGACTTTGTTGTAATAGATCCCATTCATTGTCCCCTTTGGGGTATTTCCAATACTTGAATGGCAGATTGGAGTTTTTCAGAGTATTTGTTTCATCTGCTAGTCTTTCTCTCCTTCATAGCTTTCCTTTTCCTGGACTTGCTCCTTTTGAGTTGCTTTTGAGTTTCTCATGCCTAGGTAAGTGTAATAGAAATTATGTAGCTCCTTATGTTGGCAAAGGAGCTCTATATAGTTTCACTTTTTATAAAAGTTAGGACCAGCTGTTGTTACATGTAATATTTTAGTTCAGAACTTGACCTGAAGGAAGGGAAGAAAAGTATTTGATTTTTACCTTTTTTAACAAATGTGAAAAAGTCAGTTTTAGAAATTTTGTGGTAGTAAGTTTGGCATTTGTTACATGTATAGAGAGAAGACTAATAATCTCTATTTATAACTAAATCATTGAGATAGAAAAAGATTCCCATTGACCGTGTATTTCTTCCCATTTCGTCTTCCCTTCTGCCTGTTTCCCCTTCAGGCTTGGCTCTAGGAACCAAAGTGATTTGTTCTTGTTCCAACCTGGGCTTTGTGACTTTGGTTAGTGCCACTACCTTCTTCCCTCCTTTCCCCCTTCAATTTGGAAATAAATTTCTGTATATGTTGCAATTTTAGGTTTATTTTTGTTCTTTTTGTTTTTCATTAATCCTCTCTCACCTCACAGATACCCCCCTCCCATGGCAAATAATATAATAACCAGTGAATTTTCGGGAATTTAAAATTAGCTTTTTTCCACTTAAAGGAGAACAATATTTGGGACTAGCAGGCGCAGAGTGAGAGACGTGAACCTTGGTGATCTCTGATATAGTGAGAAGAGATTATACTCATGAAAGAGAATGTTAGTGTTACAGAGAAGCAGCCGATAGGAAATCAACTGTAGAGACTTGGAGGCGGCGGCATTGCTCCAGGTCATCATCAGTGTGGTATTATCTATGAGAACTTGAGCGACAGAGTATTTCTTGATGAATTTATAGATCATTTGAGATGTTGAGTTACTTTTGTTTTGTTTTCAAATAGGTAGAGACTATTAATGTAAAAAAACAAGAAAGGAAAATGAAATGTGCGTGTTGAGAGCAATAATTTGTTTCTTTTAAAGATTCTGAAAGATCTGAGACCTGTAGCATTAATTATTTGAGTGCCCTCCCTTCTCCCCTCCCCTCCCTTTCTCTTCTCTTCTTTCATCTCCTCTCCTTCTCCTTTATTCATTGTTTTGCTTTGGAATAGGTTGTTCAAGTATTTGGTTTGGTTCTGGCATTTTGTTCCCACCATCCCCTTCCCCCATTAACTTCCCCCCTGCTTGCCATCCTGCAGTAGTATAAATCATGAATAAAAAATAATTTTGCTGTTGTAGTATACATTGGGGAAACTAGCAGGGTTTTATTTCCATTATTTTATTCCCACTATATCTATGATAAGATACAATTATAAGGAGAGAAGTGACTGTTTTTTATTGATAAGGCAAGATTTTCAGAAAAATGAGTAAAATAATTAATGAAACATATTTAGAGCACTTAGTGGTCTCTGTTTTCAATATAATTCTTGATTTCATTTTTCTCTGGAATATATTGGCCTTCTACAGCTATTACTGAATTACAGAAACTGGTTTATTTCTGTCAGAAAGCTGCAGTGCCACCTGAGTTCCAAATTTTAACATTCTTTGTAAACGGATGGATTATGATAAAGAAGATGCTACCAATGAAATAGAAAACCAACGAGATGAGAAGACTGTGATCCTCATGCACTCAGAGGCACTTCCCTTCTAAGTCAAAGACCATTCTCACTGACTATGTGCCAAGGCCTCACTTCAGGCTTGTGACTCAACAAAGGGCTTTTCCATTGATAGAAGCAGTTTGGGATTTGTAGCTACAACTTCTTCGATAGTTACCTGCATGTCCATTGCTGGCAGCTGACTTCAGTCATTAAAACCTGGCTCTTTGGTTAAGGGAGCTACACTGTGGTTTATTCTTAAGTTACATGGATAAACTAACCTCTAGCAGAAATATAGTTTGGTTAATTTTGAGATGTGTCATTTTTAAACAAAATCTTAAAAGCAATACAGAATTGTGATTTATTAATTTTAAATTAAAACATTGAGAACTTGTTGAAAGAAAAATTATATCTGAATCAAGATTCATGTTTTTTATTTTTTTTTATTTATTTATTTTTTTTGATACAGAGTCTCACTCTGTCACTTAGGCTGGAGCGCAGTGGCATGATCTCAGCTCACTGCAACCTCCGCTTCCTGGGTTCAAGCAATTCTCATGCCTCAGCCTCCTGAGTAGCTGAGACCACAGGTGCGTGCCACCACACCCAGCTAATTTTTTGTATTTTTAGTAGAGACAGAGTCTCACCATGTTGCCCAGGCTTGTCTCCAACTCCTGAGCTCAGGCAATCTGCCCACCTTGGCCTCCCAAAGTGCTACAATTACAGGCACGAGCCACTACACCTGGCCTCATGTTTTTTAAATAATTGCCTTTTATATTTACCCTTTTTGTCATCACTTTAGAATGAAAATTCCCATTTAAATCTAAAAGTTACTTTAATAGTCCTCTTGTGTTATTAGGACAGTGTTACTATAGTACTTATTTATTATATTTTAGACTTTTTCTTTTTTCTTCTGCTGCTTTTAGGGACAGTTAAAACTGGGAAACTATGAAACATGGAACATTTTATCCTACCTAGAATAGTAAATGAGTAATTGTGAAGCGTAAGACACCGAGGCTAATACAACTCTGTCTTCATGTGTCGAGTGCCTGGCACATAGTACTAATTCTCTTCCCTTTAACATATAAATGTTAAGCTGCTTAGAGTCTAGTAACCACCAACTGTAAACGAGCCTGTGCCTTTAACAAGAAATTTTAAACTACCTATGAGTATTTCTTTATAGGGCTCACTTAAATACGTTTGTATATACTGTATTCTAGCCAGAATAATTTTAGATCTGATCAGGTAGTAGCTAAAATTAGAAAAAAACAAAATAGATGCTTAAAGAATTTGCATCCATTTTTGAGTCTAAATCTTTTTAAATATACTGAGATCCACATCTAGTGAAATGTCAGTGTCAAAATATTATAGATTATAGCTAAAATCCAGATTAATACTCATTTGGGGTTTTTTATAGTGGAACTTCATAGTAATACAAGAAGCAGATTGTCTTCCTGTCTCTGCTGCTCCCACAGTAGGTATTGAAACTGGTGAAATCAGTTTTTTGATAGTGTGTGTATATAAGAAAAAATATATACACACATTCTTTTTTCTCAGTCAACACACTGATTGAACACTCTGGCAAAGATGCTGTGGTAGACGAGGTTGGAGTTAGAAAGAAGAAGCAAGCACTGGCCTGGCCTTGAAAGAACGGAAGTCTTTCCCATTCACTTCTCTAGAATGCTGCCAAGACAGAGGCAGAAAGAAATGGATGATAATTCTGTCAAGCACACTTCTATTCTTTATTAAGAGAAACAATTATGTTTGGAATTCAGCATCTTTGGTTGGAACGCATTGGCTTTTTTTTCTTGTTGTGATAGAAATGGAATTAAGTAAAATTATAGTTTGTCTTTTCTGTTGTCTTCAAATTTTATAATGTCTTTTATTTTTAATTTAATCCCATTCAATTATTTAATTGTTATACATTGACATTAACTGCTGTATTTTATGACTTTGTTCAATAATTTTGTTCTTTCAGGGCTAGAAATAAACTTTTTTAAGAAATGTGCATTTTTCCCTTTCCTAAACTTTTATTCTTTCTTTTGATCAGAATAGCATAAAAGAATAGTTAAATGTCTTAATAGGTTTTCAAAGAACATTCTAGTATCTTTAGTGATAAATGTTTTAAACCTTTAAAAAAAATAGAATAGTATAGCACTGGCACATGAATAAGCAAATCTAGAGAATAGAGCACGGAATCTAGAATTACATCCAAGTACACATAAGAGCCTTATATATGACAAAATGAGCTTTTAATTCAGTACATCTCCATTAAAAACCCCATGTAAAAATACAAATTTAGACTATTTATATATTTTTTAAAGTTCAGGTGAATTAAATATTTTTGTTTTGTTTTGTTTTTTGAGACAGAGTCTCACTCTGTTGCCCAGGCTGGAGTGCAGTGGCACGATCTCGGCTCACTGCAACCTCCATCTCTGGGGTTCACGCCATTCTCCTGCCTCAGCCTCTCGAGAAGCTAGGACTACAGGCGCCCGCCACCACGCCTGGCTAATTTTTTGTATTTTTAGTAGAGATGGGTTTTCACCGTGTTAGCCAGGACGGTGTCGATCTCCTGACCTCGTGATTCGCCCGCCTCGGCCTCCCAAAGTGTTGGGATTACAGGCGTGAGCTACTGCGCCCGGCCAATATTTTTAAATAAACCTATAAAAATTCCAGAAGGAAGCCCTTGGTGAAGATCTTCTCACTTAAGAACGACAGAAAACAAACCACCTATTTTATAAAAAACAAGTATATCTCGCTATGTAAACCATAGCAGAAAGACAAACTAAAGACTGGAAAAAATATTTACAGTATATATAATATCTAAAAGTTGATCATATTAAAATGGACATATGCAAAGGCTACGAATTGCCAATTCATAGTAGACGGTATGCAGACCCATCATTTGAAGAGATGCAAGTAGAATTCTTTTTTCTTGTTCCAACAAAATCTAGATAATTCAAATTAAACTAAAATGGCATCATTTTTAGCCTTCAGGTGAGCAGCAATAGAAAACAAAATATTAACTCAGTGCTGGCAATTGGCACTGTTACCATTCTAAATCACCACAAATATTTTAGAAATAAATTAGCAATTATCTATTAAAATGAAAACTGCATATACCTTTGACCCAAAAATCCTATTTTCAAAAATGTATCTGACAGAAAAAAAACAAAAGCATCAGCATATAGTGATACTTCTACAATGGTGTTTACTGAAATATTATTTATAGTGACAAAAATAAAAACTGAAGACTTTCAGATGTCTATTAGCAGGGAAACACATCTGAATAATGTATATTTTATTTTACTTTTTTCAGGCAAGAAAGCTTACATACATTTATTTTTGTTTATATATGTTTGTGTGTACCAAAAAGGATGATAGAAGGATGTTCTGTGCATATTAAATTGGTTACTCAGGAGGGTGAGGGGGTAAGGGGATACTACTAGTTTTTCCTATATTTATCCTGGTAATGTCTCACTTCTTAAAAGGAACATATACTGCAGAATCATGAAAATTCATGCCTAGAATAGACTTTAAAGATATCTTGTCCACTCATCTCTTTTGCAAACCAGTAAACTAAGCCCAATATTAAAATACCCAAGGTTATGCATCCATGGCTCAAAATTAAGAGTTTTTGACTCCCAGATCGGCATTCTTCCAATTCAAAATATAAAATCAAATTCTGAAAATAAGTAGCAGCTAACTCTATAGTAACCTCCTACTTGAGCCTAATAATTTATGTACTGAATGCTTCTCTTTCAGTCTGTGTGGTTTACATGCACGTATATACATATTCTTTCCCTAAGAGTTTTGTCTAGCATATGCTGTGTTTAAATTCAAATGAATTAATTTTTAAAATCAGTACCCCTTTAGGTAAATGAAGCTATCTCTGTTGTCAAAAGATCAAAGACAAGCTACATATTTAAACATTATATATTCAAATTATTTAACAACTGTTATGATACAGGCACCACACAGCTGTCAGACACTGGCGCAATCAAACCGGGCAACAGCCATTCTGGTGTAAACATCTGTGGGAAACAAAAATAGCCCAGGCCGGGCGCAGTGGCTCACGCCTGTCATCCCAGTACTTTGGAAGTCCAAGGCGGGCAGATCACCTGAGATTGGGAGTCTGAGACCAGCCTGACCAACATGGAGAAACCCCATCTCTACTAAAAATACAAAATTAGCCGGGCGTGGTGCCGCATGCCTGTAATCCCAGCTACTCGGGAGGCTGAGTCAGAAGAATTGCTTGATCCCGGGAGGCGGAGGTTGCGGAAAGCCGAGATCGTACCGTTGCCCTCCAGCCTGGGCAACGAGTGAAAATCTGTCTCAAAAAAAAAAAAAAAAGTCTGCCTTGCCCAAAGCTTAAATATGCTGTCATATCTTCAAAAAGATAAGAATATCTTACCTGAAAATTTCATCTATACTAAACTCAATTTCCTACTAATGAACAGTTTGTCAAATACATTTTTGTTTTTACTATGGGTCTCGTTGTTAATGAATATGACATTATAATAATCTGACATAATACTGACATCATAGTTTAACTGTATGAATAAATGGTGTTTTCACATATAGAGCAAGAATATATACATTCACTCCACAAGTATTTACTGAATGCCTTCTACTTCAGGTATTTCCCTAAATGCTGGGAGTGCTTCAAAACAGATTTGATTCTTGCTTTCATGGAGTTCACGATCTATGAGTGAGACAGACATTAATCAAGTAAAAAAGTGATAATACAATTATAAATTGTGAACAGAACAAGGTGCTGTAAAGTAGAATGACAGGGTGAGGGGTGTTCAGTCTATAAATTAGATGATCAGAAATGGCCTTTCTGGTGAACATGACATTTTCATTTGATCAGATTAAGAAGTCAACCTTGTGAAAGTAGGGAACAAGTTCTCCAGCCAGAGTGAGCTGTTTCTTACTAATGTGACTGGCTTGTTTTATCAAAATGAATCATAATGTTTAGTTGGTACTTCATCAGTACTCAATACATATTTACTTATTGAATCTAATGATTAGATTCTGCATGCTCTTCCATCTCTCTTATAAAAGGGCTTCGTGTTGGACTATGGTACAATTAGGCACTTTAAGAAACAACAAAATATTTTGAAGTAAGTTCTACGTATTTATTTGCCACTAACACACTGACTGTAAAAGATATGAAGCATATATACAGAAATTACCATAACCAAATATATATGCAATTAACCTTTTATATAGCTGTGTCTTTATGGTTTCCATCTTTTCTCCTCCCACCTCTGAAAATGTTTACAATTTGTAATCTCCCTCTCAGTACTGCCTGTAATGATATGGAATGATACCCATCCAGAGGAAGGGGTTGTAAGGGGTCACAGAGGTTTGCATTAGAAGGAGTAAAGTTTGAAAACCTTCCCCACACATTCAGTTATGCCCTCTTCTAGGGCATATCCTTCCGCTTTTCACTTAGGAACTATTCTGGTCTTTTTAGATGTCATACTTCCATAAATCTGCACAGTATATTCATTCATCTCCACTAGCGAAAAGTTCCACATTTTATATTAATTTTTTTTTTTTTGGAGACAGGGTCTTGTTTTGTCACCCAGTCTGGAGTGCAGTGGTACAATCACAGCTCACTGTAACCTCAAACTCCTGGGGCCAAAAATGATCCTCCCATCTCAGCCTCCCAAGGAGTTGGGACTACAGGTGCACACTACCATGCCCGGCTAATTTTCTAACTTTTTATAGAGACAGGGTCTTCCTATGTTGCCCAGGCTGGTCTCAAACTTCTCGCCTCGAGGGGTCCTCCCATCTTGGCCTCCCAAAGCACTGGGATTACAGGTGTGAGCCACCACACACAGCTTACGTTAATTTCTTCAAATAAAATATTTTTTCATAGGAAAAAAATTATCGTGGGGTTTTGTTGATATAGGAGTTAAGAAGAAATTAGTTAGGCAGATAGTGAGGGTACAGGAGTCCTTGGTAAGTTTTACCTTTTAATTAAAAGCAGCCCTCAAATCATTTATTTTCCTAACAAAGAGCAGACTGTAAAATGAAGTTGCAGACATAGGCAAGCGAAGTGGAAGCCTGCACAGGCAAATGCGTGAAGTTGTGCCAATAGGAAAATACTACCTGGAATTACATGTTCAAAACGAGAGCTCTATCTTCCCTTCTCTTTGCCAGCCACGTGTACAGTAAAGAGTAGATGAGATGGCGCTGAGCAAGTGGAAAGCCCATTTGCATAAGATTAGGGTGGGGCAACCAGCCTTCCCAGCGCCCTGTAAACTTCACACCTGATCAAACCAATCTGTGGCCCCCACGTAAATCAGACACCAACTCCTCAAGCCTGCCTCCCTGCTGCTGCCAGCTGTTCCCTTTTGGTCTCTCTCTGTCTCTGACTCTGTCTCTGTGTCTCTCTCCCCTCCCCCCTCACCTTTCTCTTCTGTCTCTCTCTCCTCTCACTTCTCTCTCTCTCTTTCTCCTCTCTCTTACAAGAGAGAGATTGCATTATCATCCAATGTCGTTCAAGAAATAGAACGTTTATTGTGTACGTTTTACAAGTTCAGCACTGTGCTAGCCTCTGTGGGGATTCCCAAAGCAGAAAGTAGACGGGTGCCATAGGATGCGCAGAAGGAAGCGCTGGTGTAGGTGTGGTCCACCGATGATGGGAAAGGAAACGGAGCTTGCCTTGGTGTCATTACCAACAGGTTTGTGATATGTATACATTTCTGGATGCAGTATGGTTAAACAGGGGCATTTAAAAGAGCCCCCACCGCAGAGGGTGAAAATGTAGACCAAAAAAAAATTTTTCATTAAAAAGCAAATTTTCACTAGTGGCTCTGTAACTATGAATTTAAATTTTAAATTTCCTGATAACTTTTCAACCATGAAGACTGAGAGCCTGGCCGAATTATTTGGTTCTCTGCCCAAAGATTGGTAATAGAGTCACATAGAATAATTTTTTCTCCTCTTTAAAGATGAATCAGAGGATGCTGGGTTTCACTGAACATTTCTGAAGATTTTCCACACCACAAAGCCCTCCAGGCACAGCTCAGCATTTTGTAGACCAGCATTAAATCTTAAAAGAAGTAAAATGCTGCCTTCTCGTGGCCCATGTACAAAACTGATGAAAACAGTATTGTTCCTTCCTGTTATTGAAAAGCAGCCAAGTCCAAAGCAGAGAGCAGCAGTATTTAGATTTTAAATGAGTTTGCAAATAAAAAGACAAGAGTACCTTAATATGACATGAGTAAACCTTTCAGGAAATAAAATTTTGAATCAGATCAGATCAAAGTGTTCCAAAATGGGGCTTAATACTGTAATTACCACCATGACTCTGCATATATGCAGATTTTCCCCCAAGGAGCTCAAACTTTGACTCAAAATCCAGTAATCTTGAATCCTGGTCTAATCCTTACCATCTAAAGAAAGCACACTTATTTAGAGTAATTGTTCAATAGAAAATTTATCAGGTCCTTCCTCATCCTGCCCCCAGCCAGATGTGTTCTCTTCCTGCTCTGAATTCCAATAAGACATAATGCTACATGTATATGGGTCTCTTTTTCTGTCCACAAGTAATAGTTTTAGAACCTTTGTGGCCTCTAAGATGGGCATGACACATGGTGCATGCTTAAGAAGTGTTTGAATAAATTAATGAATAAATAAATGGGAATTAAATGATGAATAAATGTATAGCTGTGATAAATATTCCCTATTTCCCTTATTTAAGCAAAAAAAAAAAAAAAAAAATACTATTTGTTGTGCAAATACCAATGCCTGCAAGGCTTGTTGCACTGGCTCAGAGGCCATGCGACATATCTTTGAAAACAGTCAGGAAGGCAAGAGTGGCTCCAAATCAAGCCTGGGTGCATTACTGTACTTTGTGGACATCAGGAATGGGCACTCTGGCTCTGCCTACTCCTGGATAGGCCCTACAATGATTATACAGGTTCTGACACATAAAAGCAGGGGAGAAGAATACCTGAGAAACAGATTAAGGCAGGGTTCCTCACCCCACTGCCCACAGGAAATTCTCTTCAGTGGGCCACAGAGCTAAATGTACAAGCCAAATGCTTCCTGAAAGGTGGGTGCAGATGTAGTAAACAATAGCCTATGTAAGCACCACTGAACCACATCAGTCTAGAAGTTTCTGTTTCTGATTCAGGCACTGATCCCAGGTCAGGTGCTCTGTGAGTGCTAGCTGGGAGTGGTGGTGATGGTGGTGGTTGAGATATGACAACACATAACAATATTAGATGCCTATTAGGTTCAGGCTGTAAATGACTCCTGCTTGCCCTTGGACAAGCAAGCTGGGAATGTGTGAATGTCAGCAGTGGGTATTTATACTTGGCGCCAGACTTCTCCAGACAAGTTCTTACTTGTTCCCCTCCACCAGTGGTTGCTTGAGCCTTTCTGCTGTTTAGCCTCATTCCTTTAAGCTGTGAACCCAGACTCCTATTTTGAGTCCTTTTATAGATAACTTGATTCAGTCACAATGCAACAGACTCCAGGACAGCTTTTTTTGTCTCTGTCTCTGGCTCCCAGCACCACAGCGTAAATTTAAAAAAAAAAAAAAAAAGACTCCCTGCTGTGCGCTTCTTGGGCACTGTGACAGCTGAAGGACAAGCCTGCCTTTCAGCCAGGATTCCATTTCCCTAGAGAATATTAGGTATTGGACGAGATAGGAGATGAGAGGTAAAAATGAACACTGGCGTGCGCGCGCACGCGCGCGCGCACACACACACACACACACACACACTTCTAATTGCCAAACTTCTCTAAAGGATGCTTGAGACCTGTCCCACTTTCTTTAGCATTTACTAATTCCTTGACTTCCTCTGACCACAATACCCAGGCCTCTCTCTTATGGAGTTCTAGTGGCCCCCTTGCTGAACATCATGGTCTTCTCTCAGTTCTTATTCTCTTTGACATCTTGCCAACATCTCACTTTTCTGACAACCTCAATTGCCTGTTCCTGGAACAGTCTTCTAATTTTCCTCCCAAGACTAATCACAAGTTAGTAAGAATCCAAGCAACTTTCATTTCTTTCATTCATTTATTTATTTTTTGAGGCAGAGTCTTGCTCTGTTGCTCAGGCTGCAGTGCAGTGGTGTGATCATGACTCACTGCAGCCTCAAATCCCTGAGCTCCAGCAATCCTCCCATCTCAGCCTCCCAAGTAGCTGGGACTATGGGTATGCACCACCATACCCAACTTTTTTTTTTTTTTTGTAAAGGCAGGGTCTTAATATGTTGCCTAGGCTGGTCTCAAACTCCTGGGCTCAATCAGTCCTCCCACCTCAGCCTCCCAAAGCACTGGGATTACAGGTGTGACCACTACACACAGCCCATTTCTTTTACAGTGTCCCAACATTTCAGTATGTTTTAAATATTTATTGCTTCTAAATTAAACGTTTAATACATATTCACAAAATATAGAGACATGATCTCATTTAGAGATCCAAATGTGAAGCCTGTGTGACTGTGAAGGCCCCCTGTGATGGGGCCGTTGTAATAGGTTTCTCTTACCTCTCTACCTGGCTTTCACATCTCCTTCAGTAACTCTCTTCCTCTTCTTGCTGCAAGACTGGGTCCTCAATCCCCATCTCTCTCCACTTACTTCCCCTTTGCCTACAAATCCTGCCTTCTAGCTCCAGTTGTCTTTTTTTTTTTTTTTTTTTTGAGATGGTGTTTCACTCTTTTGCCCAGGCTGAAGTGAAGTGGTGCGATCTCAGCTCACTGCAAACTCCACCCCCCGGGTTCAAGCAATTCTCCTGCCTCATTCCCCCGATTAGCTGGGATTACAGGCACCCACCACCAAGCCCAGCTAATTTTTTGTATTTTTAGTAGAGATGGGGTTTCATCATGTTGGCCAGGCTGGTCTCGAACTCCTGACCTCAGGTGATCCACCTGCCTTGGCCTCCCAAAGTGCTAGGATTACAAGCATGAGCCACCGCGCCCGGCCCAGTTGTAATTTTTATACTAATGACTACTCAATTGATGTACCAAACCAAACCTCTCATCCAAGCCTGGATTCCAATACTCCTAGTTGTCTACAGAACATCTAAATCTTACCATTTGCAAACTGAACACATCATCCTCCCTCTGGTTGGCAAACTAGCTTTTCTCTTTCTCCTATCTCAAATCTTATCTCAGCAGAAGCCAAGGGTTCCATATAGGGCTATCTGTAGAGAAGAGGGTGCTCATCCTATTTCAGCTTTCAGAATTGTGATGGGTTATGGTGGTCTGAGACAGAGAAATCAATTTGAAGGAATTTGACAGAATATTATAGCTAGTTATAATGGGTTGGATAGTAAGCTGTTAGACCTTCCCAGAAAAGAAGTTCTCGAAGTAAAAGGCAGAGTTCTGACCTTTTATATAGAAACCGGTGCAATGGTTATGGGTGGAGGGGCAGCTGTTAAGGATGTCCAGTTTAGACATCTCTTAGCAAACTGGAAAGCTATCTCCTTCATGCCTATACCCAAGACCCATTTGTTAATTACATGCATGTTGTCTTAGTCCATTCGTGCTCCTATAACAAAATACCACAGACTATTTTATAAAGAAAAAAAAATTACTTTCTCACAGTTTCAGTGGCTGGAAAATACAAGGTCAAGGCTCTAGGCATTTGATCTAGTGAGGGCCTTCTTGCTGCATCCTCACATGGCATAAGGTGGAAGGGCAACTAGCCAAGCATTGCGGGACGTCTCTTTTGTAAGGGCTTTTTAACTCCATTAGCCAGGAAGAGACTGTAAGGCCTAATCACCTCTTAAAGACCATCTTAATACCTATCTTAATCACTTCTTAATACCATCATATTGGCAATGATTGAACTTTGGAGGGGACACATTCAAATCATAACATATGTTGTAATAAGCTGCAAAATGTAAGTTTTAATAGAATAAACTTTTGTTTACCTCTATCATTCATTCACTCTATGAGATTTTTGCAGTAAAGTTTTATCCCAATATTATAACGATCTCTCAGGAAATCTCTTTATGTTCTGAGATCATCTGACAGCACCATGTACAATCTGTCCTTCTCATAGGAGCAGATGAAATCAACCAGTGGTATTGATGGTTATCTTTTCTTAAGCCGGTTATTGCAGGCATCTGTCTGTCTCTTTGTGGAAGACTCCATGCACACTACCACAGGAAGGAGATCTTGTGATGTAGGCAACTTCCTGGTTAAAGCTCTTGTCAGTTTAAACATGATTACTTACTTTCTGACGTTTGCACTAAGTAGAAAAATATGCTCCTTAGAGTCCTAATGAGTATCTACTTTAACCTACCCCAAATGAGGTAAGATCATTGGATATCAGAATTGGAACACAATTTATGTCCTGAAAAAAATAATGAGAAAGATCAAATAAGAGTTATGTAATCTTACTGCAAAAACCTAGCTGTAGGAAATAGATACCTTCTATCATCTGTCCCAAAAGATGGAGTTGTCTGAGCCACTAATCCAATTCTAGGGATCCAGATGATTCAGGTAATTCATGAATCCCATCTTCAGACAGAAGGCAAGAGCAGTGCATGAGATATCTCAGTAGCATGACATTCCATTTTATAGGAGCTAAGGGGAAACTGAAACTCTGTGTAGAGTCTCTGTCTCTTAGTTTACTGAAATTTATCTTTCATTGTAATAAAAAAGATCTGACCCAAAGGAAAAAAAACATTGTCAAAAATTTTGGTATTTCTCAAGGCACCTGAACAAATATACCATAGCCATCTAGGGTTATATTGTCACCACCAGTTGTGTAATTAAAACAAAAAAAAACTTTAAAATTAAGTATCAGCAAGATATAATTAAGAAGAAGAATGTCCTTTTATGTGTGACAAATCATAAATAAATGTATGTAAATACTTAAAGACTAAAGCTAAGTTATTTGTAAACTATTCATTTTTAAATGATTTGTACAAACATTCCTCTAGGATATGACATTTAAAAATAAAATGTGATTCTATTTATAAAGTCTGTATTAAGCGGAATACTGTATTAAATAAATATATCTAATATGAATGGAATTAGAACTAAATTTTAGTTTGCACAATAGATATCTGTCCAAAAAACTTAAGATTACAGAAAAGGCTACAATGGCTGACTTCCTTTGGCAAATGGTGGCATACTGCAAGAAAATTTTATCAGAAAATTTTTGTTTTGTCCTTATTTTAACCTGAGAAAGCTTATAATTCAATTCCCCTTACAAATATATCATAATAAAAATTAGGTGAATTTACCTTGTAAGAGGAAAATTGGAAAAGAGGAAATATCATATAATTTGTAACAACATTTGCAAGGAAAATTCTATAATATGTGTCAAATATATTTAGTAAAACCAGAGTTTATTGTTTACCATGTAGCTAGAAGTCCTAATATATTTCTTTGCTCTTTTTTCCTATTTTTAATATTAATATAATCTGTTCCTAAAAACTGCCCAAGTCTTCACCAGCCAACTTAAGGTGATTTTGTGACACCCCATTAAGTTATCATTTATTCTCATTGATCTCATCACCTGCAAACTTTTCAAAGATACTGATACTCTACCTGTCCTTCCTAAATTACTACAGTTCCCTTCATCCCAGTTTCTACTACTACAAGTCGTTTGAAACCTGCTTATGAAGATTGTCACTAATAACCTAATCCCCAAATCAAACCACCTTTCTCTCTCCCTTTATCTCAGTCAAGTTTAATCAAATTTAGCCCTATTAATGTTCCTCTTTTTCCTTGAAATTTATTCTTTAGGTGTTTTATTCTAGCTTATCCCCCGCATTTCTTTTTGACAGCTCATTTTCAATCTCTACCTCTTCTGCACACTAAGGGCTTTTCTTTGGTTCTGACTTTTCCTCTTATTCACAATTGACGGTTCACATGACCTCGTTCTGTATTTCCTCTCTCTCATTTTCCCAGGCTTAAACACTTGGAGAGATTTTCTCTTAACACTCCTATAAAAATGTGAGTTTATCTAATGGAGATTTAATAAAGCAAATGCTCTCTCCACAAAGAGATATCGCTGGACCACTAAAAATTCAACAATGTTCTCAACTAAATTTTCTCCATTTGTATTATTAAGGGAGACTAACTAAACCCACAGTTCTCCACAATGACAACTGCCCTTACAGATTTGCTTAAAAAAAGTAGTCCATATATTCGCTAAAATCTAGAGGGTATTTAATAATATGAGTGCAACTCTTTTCTCCTTTAGGGTATGGACAGGAACGTTCATTCGAAGTCAAGGCAGATGCCTAAAATATTGCAGTAAGACAATCTTCTCATTGTCTGTAGCAGATACAGACACTGGTTACTTCTCCCCCAAATTCACTCATACGATACTGAACTAACTAATGCTATGTTAAAGCAGAAATATGCAAGAATGTACCCTTAATAAATAAGGTCCCTGCTTAGTTGTGGTGGTAAAATGTGAAGGGAAACTCAGGCAGTAAACAAGATCAGAGAAAAAAAGGAGGCAAGACAATCATAGTTGACAATAGATCTGTTCTTAGTTTCAGTTTTGTCACCAATATCTCAGAAACCCAGAAGCAAAGGATGTATGGCTAATTCTACCTGAGAACTTCAGTGTGACTCCATTTTGATGCAATCAAAACTTGAACTCATCTTCCAAGATTGAAAGCAATGGCCCCCCTACATACTACATACCACTGTCATTGTCATTGTCATTTCTCCTTAAAATCATTTCTTCCCCCATTGTATGTTCTATTTGTGAATATCTTCCTTGGTCCATGAATCTGCCTTCACTCTCCGTATTCTTCTTCAGACCTAGACAGTATGCTCTTAAGAACTGAGTAACTTCATTCAGGATATGGCCACTACTATGAAGATGACTTTTGGACAAAGGACTGGTTTTAGGAATCCTGAAAGTTTCTTGGAGACTTTACCAGTCTTATTTCTGCAAGTCATGATTACCACACATTTTGTAGCTAAACAATTGCTGTTCCTACACTGTAAGATCATCATCTTGGTAAGTGACATTTTCATCAGTATGGGTTATTCTTTCATTCCATAATATCCTATGACCCAGACTAGGCCTTTGGGTTCTAGTTCACCCTTAGATATTTATGTTTTATGTTCTCCTATGATGGTTAATTTATCTTAAGCATATCTCAGTCCCCAAAAAAATGCTTAATTTTTTTTATATTTTTAAATGACTGTCACAGCAGCATTATTCAGAATAGTTAAAAAGTAGAAGCAACCCAGGTATCCATCAGCGAATTCAGATTAAAAAATTCTGCAGGCAACCAAACTTTTAGTCAAGTGAGAGGAAATCAGAAAATGCAAGTATCCATTTACCATTCATGGGGGAAATAATTCTTTGATACTTGAGAAAATACCACAGCTGACTAAAAGAATAAATAAAACTGTTACATCTCAAGAGGTAATATGATATTAAAAATTGATTATGTGTACTGCATCCATTAAAATTCACATTAATAAATAATTACTAGTTTTTAACATCAATATGTTACATAATTCTTGTATCAAATATATTTCTTGGGAAAGAAAATAAACAAAATAAAAAATAATATTTTTAATACCAGGAATTTGACCTAAAAAACTAATTAATTAATACATGTTGAGCAGGAGTAGAGAAGAGGAAAGTAAAAGTGTGATAAGTCTCTTATATAGGAGAACCAGTAATAGTCTTCCATTCTTATAATTGGTTGAAAATTACATATATATGCTAATCTCTGTGTATATGTATATTTTTATATACATATAATGTGCATATGTGAATATATATATAACTGTAGAACAAAAATGTGCATTCTACAAATGGGAATATAGAATAAAATTTGTAGAAAAAATAACTAATAGGAAGAAAGAGGAGCTACAATGACATATAATGTATAGGGAAGAAGAAAACAATAAGTATAAATCACAAAGAATAAAATAAAATGGCAAAATAAGACTATACCTGACTTGGCATAGTGAATATAAATGGCTTAAAAGATAACAATAAAAGGCAAATAAAATCAGATTATATCAAAAGGTAAAAATCTAAATTTACTAATTATAAGAAGCACATGTATAAACAAATTGACAAAGAAATGTTGAAAATAAAGGGATTCAAAAGTTTCCCTGGTCAAAAGGAACATAGAAAAGTTAGAGGAATAGACAGGTAGAAATATTAGAATCAGACACAGCATCATGTATCATGGCAAAAAATATGAAATGGATAAAATGATTATTATACACCTGTAAAAGTTACAATGCACAGTGCAAACATAAGCATCACAAACAATCCATACACTGAGGAAATACATAAAATAAAAACTGTTAGGAAGGAAAGGAAACTTTACATAAAACTTTAACATAACTGTAACATACATCTAGGAGATAAAACAGAATTTCCGGAATGACAAAATATCTTTAATAGGCATGACTAAGCTTTACACTATACAGAGAATATGCCTTTTTCTGTAACATCCACAGAACAAACAGTAAAATTCACTAAAATGGTTTTAATAAAGTGTGAGTATTTTGACTCATCCACCCCAAAAGGGCGTATTCTTTCTACACTAATTGTATAGCCCAGGATGTTAGGAATTAACCAATATTCTTTAGTCCTTGAAAGATCTTAACCTTGAAAACACTCAGAGACAACATACAAATAAAACCCACACCAGCTTTTCTGTGTGCTTTATCTGACTGTAGTAGGCTGAATAAAGGCCTCCAAAGATGTCCCCATTCTAAGCCCTGGAACCTGTGAATGTTACTTTACATAGCAAAAGGGACTATGCAGATGTGACTAAGAATCTTGAGACAGGGAGATTTTCCTGGGGATTATCCAGGTGGGCCCTAAATGCAATTTCAAGTCTCTTTATAAGAGGGATTGAGAAGGAAACTTCATCAAAGAACAGGAAAAAATCAGTGTGACCATAGAAGCAGAGATTGAAGCGATGTGGTCACAAGGCAAGGAATGCTGGCAGCCACCAGACACCGGAAGTCAGGAACAGATTCTCCCCCGGAACCTCCAGAGGGGAGACAGCCCTGCTGTCACCTTGATTTTAAGCCAGTGATGTTGATTTCAGACTCTGGCCTCTGGAACTGTGAGTAAATAAATGTGTGTTGTTTTATCCACTAAATGTCTGTTTTAAGCCACCTACCACAGGAAAGTAATACTCTAACCTCCAGCTAGTTTCTCTCTCTGGGACTCTCCCTGTATCAGCAATGGTACTATCACTTTCCTTGTCACCCAATCACCATGAACTTCTCCTCTCTCGCACCCATACCCAAAGTAAGGGGTAGTGGGAATGGGTGGATTTTCATCCCACCTCTTTTTTTAATGAATAAATTAAATAAAAGAGTATCTCCACAAGTTTGCCTACCTATCATTTTAAAGTAAAACCACCGTAAGTTTGATTGTTGACCTCTCTGGTGAAATTGCTAGAAATAAAGAAAGTATCTTACCAACCTAAAGGAAATGGAGATAAAAGAGTTGGAGAAGAAGCAGGATGCCTAAGCCTCGTCTTTAAAAAAGAGGTTTTTTACATATCTTTCTCTTACCAAACTTTAGGTTGCTAATACATTTATCACTATAATTTTATTTTTAATTAACATTCCTGGTGAAAAATGGACACATTTGATAGATTCAGAGGCTGTAATAAAGTCATCTGTCCTAAGAACCAGGAAGCACACAGAGTGATGTAGTTCACTAAAGGTTTCCCCCACCTCGATTTACATGGGCCTTAACTTTCAAGAGATTCAACATGGCAGCTTTAATAATAATAATAATAATAATAATAATAATAATAATAATAAAAGAGAATCTTGTGTGTCCTTCAATAGTTGACTGAAAGTGTGGCAGGCCAGGTCTCACTAACAGCTGAATAGGCAGGCCTCCATGACAACTGTTTCAGCACTGACTGAGTGGTTAAGATAAATATTAAAAACTGATGGGGCCAATGTCCTCATACAAAGGCTGGAATGTAACAAAACCCACCAAGAGTTTTGCCTAGGTCTTCCCTGGGCCTTGAAGTATGACAAGATAACGAAGGAATTCCTAACAGGACCCATTTAGGATTAAACAAGTTTTATTGGGGGTCTAAAGGAACTCCCTAGACCTCCACAAACAAGCTTTACTGGGGACTAAAGGAACCTCCATGATTTAGCAGGAGACAAGATAAGGGTAATCACCCTGGCACCTGGACCCATTTAGATTAAGAAAATTTACTAAGGCTCCAGAGGAAGGTCTTCAGTACTCAGATTTTAGTTATAGGTTAGAAGTTGATTACTTGGCCGGATGGGGTGGCTCACGCCTATAATCCCAACACTTTGGAAGGCCGAGGCAGGTGGATCACCTGAGGTCGGGAGTTTGAGACCAGCCTGACCAACATGGAGAAACCCCATCTCTACTAAAAATACAAAATTAGCCTGGCATGGTGGTGCACACCTGTAATCCCAGCTACTTGGAAGGCTGAGGCAAGAGAATCACTTGAACCCAGGAGGCAGAGGTTGCAGTGAGCCGAGATCGCGCCATTGCACTCCAGCCTGGGCAACAAGAGCAAAACTCCGTCTCAAGAAAAAAAAAAAAAAAGTTTATTACTTATGTCTTTAGATGAATGCACACTTACATACTTACACATAGACATATAGCTTAGAAGGTGTATAAGCTCTGGAAAACTTTATAATTTTGAGTTGGTCTGGCAATATTTCCCAGCCTTCTCTCTGTACCTAGTTATATAAATAAACTCCCTTCTATCCAGTTCATCTGCATCTCATTATTGGGCCATGAGAATAAGCATAAAACAAACCTTCCTTTGATGCTGGTATCTAAGCACCAAAAAATAGATACCAGCATCAAAAGAAGGTTTGGATACAACCTTCTTTCATTTTGTTTGGATACAAGGAGCTAGTTTGGGTCTGCTCCTTTAATGTATCTATGCTCATATTTTCCTTCCTCAATTATAAAATAAAGTAGAGGTGAACACTGTGGTTAGCCATAGATTAACCAAGAAAGCAGAAATCATCTCAAATGTTCACAGCAGAAGGAATGGAAAGCAGTGGTGGGTCCATGAAGAGTGGAGAGGCTGAGAATTAAACAGAGGGCTCTAAAATAATCCTGGGAGATTGACGATAGCAGGAAGTCTTTATCATTCTTGGGCTGGAGAGACAAAAGGAAAACATGGAATTACTGGCACCAAGAGGACCACTCTGGGAGACTGGATCTCTGGTGGCCTCGATACAATGGGGGCTGGAGTCACAGAGAAGATAAAGCCACTGGAGAGGCCACCTTAGGCTGAAAACAGGAGGGAGTGTCTTGATAGCTCCCTCCCCCAAAAACCGCTCCTCACCCTGCTCTCTAATTTTCCATGGTTGATATATTCCTGCTGCCCGTTGACTCAGTCCTTTCAGAAATTCTCTAGAGCCTGAAAAAGTCACCCTGCCGAGGATCAACTTCTTCACCCCAGAACAAGGCAGAGCAGAAGGATGGATCTGAGTGCAAACAGGTCCAGGACCAGCACACCATATGGTAAAGTGTTTTTATGGTGTTATATAATAGAATATATCATTGAATTCAACTCCTTCATTTTACAGAGAGGAGCTAGGGTCCAGAGAGATGAAACTGTTTACCTAAATGCACACACACAGCAAGCTTTTAGGTCTGAACACACAGCATGCTTTTATTAGGATTGTATTAGTTATGACACTGCTTAAGCCCTATTATAAAGTTCTTGGGAGCTGAGTCATTTCATAGTCATCCCTAGTACCTGATACAGCATCTGGTGCTTAGAAAACTCTCATTAAAACATTTATTGAATTCATACAGATTGAAAGAGAAAACATAGCCTATCAACTGATCTAAGGTAGCTTTAGAAAATTTCCAGTCATATAAGAGTTACTGAGCAAAGACTGTCAAAACAAAGCAAAGTCTTTGTTAAACAAAGACTGTCAAAATTATGCCTCTTAAATGTTTCAAAAGGGAATCATACATTCTCACTGGCCTGTGACGGTTTAAATTTTCTATGATTCAGAACAAGAACAAAGATATGTTTCTTTTAACTCTCATACTAAACTATTATTTGAAATAATAAAAAGGATGTCAGCAATGAAAAGCTGTACAGGTTGTACAGAACAGATTGATACAAATAAAAAGCTAATAAATATTTATGTGGCCGTGTGTGGGAGGTGTTGCCTGGAGTGTTTCCCCCACATCCCTGACTATGGAGTGAAAAAGGAAACTTAGGAAAAAATATACCCAAAGAGGGAGATTTAAATAGCACAGTGGGCAGTGGGGGAAGTGATGACTAATATTGCTGTTAGTAGTGGTTTAGGAACAAAAGAGACAAGTCAGCTGGAAACCTTCTGGTGTCTTCTGCTAGGGCTCCTTGCTAAAGCTGATGCTGGAAAGGAGGAAGGAAGGAAAGAAGGAAGGAAAAGAGGGAGAGAGGGAGCGAGGAAGGAAGGAAGGGAAGTCATTAGAATGTAAGCTGAACACCCATTTGGTGCTTTTGGCCAAACAATAATACACATGTTTAAAAGTTCATTACGGTGGGAACCCAACTTAAGTAGAATTAATGAAATTGATACAGAACTTGAAATTCACTACCTAAAATTATTCATTAAAAATGCAACATGCATTGAATTAATGTAGCAGCACCTGAAGGAAGTCAAAGAAACTCCAGTTTGAATTTTGGGAGAAAAGAAAGTATCATTTAATTTGAAATAAATGAAAAGAACCTAAAAGAGCAAATGGCTAAATAAGTAGAAGAGGTTTTTTGCAACCTATAATTACTGGGGGATTTTTTTCAGGAAGCTTCAGGAAAGAAGCTCCGACCCTCAGATTAGTCATTCATCACCCAATCACTGGCTGCTAAATTAGAGGCCAGGAAAAAGAGATCAGACATGTGCAAGAAGGAAGAAGAAGAAGGAAGAGGAGAAGGAGGAGGAGGGTGGGGGAGAGGGAAGAGGAAGGGAAGGAAGGGGAAGCAGCTGTCACTTTTTTGTTTCAGTGAAACTATACAGGGCAAAATCCCATTAGAGCTTTCTGAGAAGTTATGTCTGGGACAGATCTGATGGTAGGCTTGAAACTTCGAACAGAGTCCAAGAAAAATCCCCCCCTTTTTTTTTTTTCTTGGTTTTGTAGAATTTAGAACTATTTTTCTAGGTGTCTGAAATAAAATAAAATTTTAAGTAGTTGAAATGTTAAGTAAATTGTTTTCAACAATTTGCAGATTTATGTCAGAATATATGTTATGGGATTAAGCAGATAAAATAATAATATTAAACATCAAAGTAAGAATAGTGTGAGAGATGAATAATTTAAGGCAATTTCAGTTGCATGAGGTTTTTTTTCTTTTTCTTATGAATAAAAATATAATATAGTTTTATTACTCTGTAGAGAGGTTAGTAAACTAGGAGAAACTCAAGAGGGGAAATGCAAAACATAATAAAATAGAATACATTCGATTTTAAAAGAATGTCTGTATTTCATTTGAGTGCTGGCCAAAAGATAATGGCATTTCTTGGAAGAAAAGCAGTTATCAGAATTTAAAATTTCAAAAACCTGTATTAGGAAGACACATCACTTATGTAGTATGTAGTATTCTTGTCAACAATATTTTGTCTAAATCTAATCATGATGAAACAATCAGAAAAATCCAAATTGAGAATAATCTGTAAAAGGAATGGTCTTTGTTTTGTTACATGTATACATATATGTAAATATATATCCCCAAAGCCGACCTTGAGAAGGAAATTCACTGAGCCATTCCTTACGAGTGTTCCCAGGAGAAACAGGAAAGTGAGAAGTCAAGTCGGTCCAAGAAGAATAAAGAGGCCAAGCCCAGTTGCATATCAGCAATCTCACAGAGAGAGCTGCCTCAGTCCCTCGAGGGTAAGTAGATGACCTCAGAGTTGTCCCATCAGTTGCTGCTTCAGAGCCACACTTTCAGCTCATCCTTGCACTTCATGCAATCTGTGAGCCCCACAGGCAGAGCAGGTCCTGGCTGCCTGAGGTTATTCCCTATGAAAGAAGCAGATCTAGGTTCCCACAGCAGTCTCGGCTGTAACTAAACAGAAGGCTTCATTCATGATTGGATTAAGGATGGGGGAAGGGCAGGTGGCTATGAAGGTTATTACTTGGACCACAAGGACAATTTTTAAATGAGCTGTACATTAAATATTTAATTTTATTGTTGTTAAATTTTGAGTGTGATAATTATGTCACGCTTATGTGGAAGAATATCCATGTACTTATAAGATACATACTGAAGTATTTAGGACAAAAATGCTGTGTCTAAATTTATTCTCTAATAGCCTCACAAAAGAAAAGTAATATTGATGTGTATGTGTGAGTATATGAATGTATATACACACATACGTGTATACATATACATTTAGTATGTTTATGTATATGTTTGTAGACAGACTAAAATAGAGGAAAATATGGAAAAATGTAAACAAATGGTGACTCTAAGTAAAAAGATATATAGATATTTATTGTACTATTATTTTAACCTGTAAGTTTAAAATTTTTCAAAACAAATAGTAGGAGAAAAAAATTAGCACTTGTCATGGTAACTTTTTTTCAAGAAAAGTTGTGTTTAAGATCAAACCAGGTGCGGTGGTTCATGCCTGTAATCCCAGTACTTTGGGAGGCCAAGACAGGAGGATCACTTGACCCCAGGGATTTGAGACCAGCCCTGATAACATAGTGAAACCTGTCGCTACAGAAAATTTAAAAATTAGCTTGGCATGGTAAGCTGTAGTCCCAGCTACACAGGAGGCTGAGGTGGGAGGGTCGCTTGAGCCTGAGAGGTCGAGGCTGCAGTGAGCCATGGTCATGCCACTGCACTCCAGCCTCAATGCTTTTATAAGTGTTCTTATATAAGCAATAAGTAAATTGCTTATATAAACTCTTATATAGCTATTTATTTATTTTTTTGAGATAGGGTAGGCAATACTCTGGTAACAAACCATCCACAAATCTCAGTGGATAAAAACATAAAATCATTGCATATTGCATTAAGCTGCATTGAAAACCCAGTAAGAAATTTGGTGTAAATAAAATGAAATAAAAATGGGAAAAATAAAGTCCTTAAGATCATTGTGTTAGGAAAAATTGTCTACTGACTTCTTGACAACAGGACTTATTTATTTATTTTATTTATTTATTTAATTATTTTGAGACAGCGTCTCTTTCTGCAGCCCATGCTGGAGTGCACTGGCGCCATCTTGGCTCACTGCAGCCTTGACCTCTGGAGCTCAAGTGATCCTCTCATTTCGGCCTCCAAGTAGCTGGGACCACAGGTGCGCCACCCAACCTGGTTAATTTTTGTATTTTGTGTAGAGACAGGGTTTTGCCAGGTTGCCGAATCTAGTCTCGAACTCCTGGGCTCAAGCCATCCATCCACCTGGGCCTTACAAAGTGCTGGGATTATAGGTGTGAGCCGCTGCGTCCAGCCAGGACTTCTGATTTCTTTACTGTTTATTAGAGGATGGACCCTATTCCCTCCAATCATAACTCACTTTTTAAAGCAGTGATTCTCAGCCCTTTTGGTTTCAAATTTTTGGTAGCCTATTTAAGGAGGAGGTTAAGATACCCAAAATATCGCCAGTCAAGTCCTGAATCATTACAGTGCATACTTCCACCGTAAAATTCTGTCCCAGAGTGTCTGAAAAGCATCCATAACAACTCATCAGCTCCATGTAACTAACTGCTTCAGTGAAAATGATTATTGTCTTGACCTCATTTCTTTATACTTAAAAGGACAAATTTCTCATATGTTCCAGAAAGTATGCCATCTTTATTTAGCACTATGCAGCTCATCTCTTACTTGCAGCAAGTTGTACCCAGTCTACATAATTTCTGTAACCTACTACTCCATCCAGCAGTTATTTTTGACCAGCACTGCTGCAATAATACATATACTTGTTTAAGCAGAAGTTAATCTTACACATTGGTTTTGACAATACCACTGTTTCACAGATATTTCCTGTTCTGTCTCCTTACATCCATATGGTAAGATTGTACATGCTGGTCCCCTTGTGGTGGGGTTAGGTGACCAGTTCTAGCACTTGTCACCCGTAAGTGATGAGTAGAAGTGACAATCCACTTCTGGGCCAGAGTACTTAAATGTTGATGGTAAACCCACCACATTTCTCTCTTTTGCTTCCAGCACAGTGACCCATGATATTCAAGGTGGTGGCTCCTTTGTCAGATGAATTCCTGAGTGACCATAAGCAGAGATCTCCTAACGACCCATGATGGGTAGTGTGAGCAAGTATGAACCATCTAGTGGAGCAAGAAATAGTGCCTATATAAGCACTGAGATTTGAGGATGGTTTGTTACCAGAGAATTGCCTACCTTATCCTGACTGATAATCAGATGTAATAATATACCTCTGACTGGTGTTGGCTCCATCATACACCAGGGAAACAGCTGTTGTCTAGTACTTATAACATGTAACTCAAAACCCCTGGTTTAAATGAATTCCTGAGTGCATTATGCATAACATTTGTATAATTGGCTTTTGTAAACAAGACATTGCTATAGTTCTTCACAGAATTATGCTAATATCGATAGATTATTCTTCATTTATCTTTATCTGTTCTGAGCGACTGAAAGAGGAAAGATTTGTTATGAGAACACATAAATACAGTATCATGAAAGGGAAAGAAAAAGTTCTGTTTTGCGGAAGGCATTAGTCCCCTTTGTTAGTCAAATGAAGAGAGACTATTCATTATACTTTAATCTTAAGGAATCCAAGATTGCTAAACTAATGGATGACATGTGACTAAGGAATGAATTAGTTGAACTTTATTCTATGAGTTGCCACCATGAACTGTGCAATTATAGCCAGGTCCTTTAAATGCTTTGAATGTTTTTCATGTGCGGATAAGATTATTTCAGACCTACCAGGCCTTGAAGAAGGATCAAAGTCTTGTCAGAGCTTTTGCCTAAAATTGAAAATATCATGTTACTTGGACTATTTATTTATCCCTGCACCTTGTTGCAAAAAGGATTTTAAGTAGATGGCATATTATTATTTTATTAACACATTAAAAAAAACCCATAAGAGGATTATAGAGTTTTTCCCTAACCTACTTCTCAGAGTGTTTTAAGCACACTGTAGAATTTATTCACTCATGAATTTGATACAAACTAAAGTGAAAATCTCTTCTCTGGAACCTCATAATGCTTAGAAAGCATAGTAACACGTTCGGAGAAAGAGGAAGATCAAATTTAGAGGAAGCTCTTGTTTGAGTTTCTGCCACAATGAGTTTCCCATTCTAGATATTAAAATAATAGTATATACCCCAAATAAAATACTCAAGTTTCTGTAAATTAAGGATTATGACTTGATTATACATATTTTAGATTTAGAGCATGCATAAAAAAATATCTTTTTCACCAACTAGTAGAAAAAAATTCAAAATAATGTGATGATTTTAATCTTCCATGATATGTAATCTAAAATATCAAAACATCACTGACTTTGCATTATAATTAAATATAAAAGGTGACTGACTTAAGCCAAATTTAAAAAAAAAAATTGAGACAAGGTCTGTGTCATCAGAGGTGGTAAGCAGTAGTGCAAACACAGCTCACTGCAGCATTGACCTCCTGGGCTCAAACTCTCCTCCCATCTCAGCCTCCCAGGCAGCTGAGATCACAGATACACACCACCACACCCAGATAATTTTTTTTTTTAAGTAAGGACAAAATCTCACTATGTTGTCCAGGTTCCAAATAAATTTTAAGAGCCTAATTTTAACTATTCAAAAACTAAGCAAATACCTGAAAATTATTTCTTCTGAAAAACACATACTAAATAAAAATCTATTATACTTATGGATTTTCAGAGGTCTTCATAAGTATTAACTCATAAATTCTTGTGGCTTTCCCAATTGTCACATGTCTCCTTTCATGAAATATTTTGTAAATTTTTACTATGGTATTGGACAGAGCATGAACCTCAGAATTGCCCAAATCTGAGTTCACCGACTTAATCAAGCACATATTAATATATAATCTTGGATAATTTATCAATTTAAACTGAAGAGCTTTATCTTCAACATTTCTAAATTATGCGTGTTATAAACAATAAATCAGGTTATTCCATTACATTTAATAACTAGCAACCCACACTGTGATAAGTGTCAGTAATGCAACAGCACGGTAATATATAGGCAAAGCACCAACCAGAAATTAAGTATCTGTTGAATTTCTCTCTACTCTCCTTTTCCCTCAACCAATTCCTGAATAAATGTAGGGAGAAACAGGAATGTTTTAAGAAATCTTCTTCAACTAATATGAAATAGGATATCTGAAGACTCATCCTTCTGTCTTCCTAGTCTATAGTTTGTTCCACAGCTATTTTTGTGACTAAAGATACTAAAATTAGACATTATTTTTATCTCTAAATTTCAAGGCAGTTGTTAAGAACTATGACTAAACTACCAAAATAAAGAAACATAGAGGAATAATGAACATTGACTACAAACTAAACTGATTGTCACATATTCTATGTGGTGATTTGAGAGACTGCTTCTCATACACTGTAATTCAATGAAAAAATAGCATATACAAAATGATTACTTAGTAAGAAAAATTCAAACTTAAAACGAGTTGTCAATGTGACATGCCATGTTAGAAATGAATAATAAAATGTGTGCCAAGGGCTAAGTAAGGCATTTTTCCCTTTTTTTCTCTTTTAAAAAGGACTACAAAAGAGCAGTTTTTTTGGTTAAAAGAATTAATGAAAATTGCTAAATCAATGACGCTTTCAGAAGTTCCCTGTTTTTGACATCAGAGTCATATTATAATGCTCTATTTCCTGTTTCCTCACCTAAACAGAATTTTGCTTCAGGCAATTTTTTATCTCAACTTCTGTTTGTAGAAACCAGGGACATTTATTGAATTGTTTCTGGCTGGCTATTTGATCGTAACAAAGCATTTAAATGATACTGATGCCCTGGCTTGAGCAACGGAGCATCCCAGACTTTCAGTTAGTTGCACACAGCACACATACAACTCATTTGAGTTACAGCTAAATGCAATTACAGGCCTCAGAGCTAATATATAGATCACTTCTTATTTAAGGCAATTCACCTTTGAATTGGTTAACCTTTAATTGTTCATAAAATAATAAGATGGGAAACAAAGTTGCTACCCAATATGTTAGTTTCCCCAAATAAACACTTATTTAAAGGTTCATTTGTTAATCAAGTATCTGGAAGTTGAAATACATTTTTATGAAAGGAAATAAATTTTAGGTGATGATTAGGTTTTTATCAAGAGCTGAAGTTTTTAATAACGAACAGGGAGAGATACTATGGCAAAACAGTAATTGAATAAAACATAAATTCAATAAAATGATATGAAAAATCAATGTTTGACATTTATTGTGCAGTGCTGGCTGGGTGCAGTGGTATGAGCCATACCACTGTGTACATCCTCATCTGTCTACCAAATATGGCCCCCAGGCAGTTTGCTCAAGGTCACATACTGGTGGAACAATAATTAGAAACATTTTATCATCCTCAATTTAATTCTCTTTATATTTGACTCAGGATAAATGTCAAACATTGATTTTTCATATCATTTTATTGAATTTATGTTTTATTCAATTACTGTTTTGCCATAGTATCTCTCCCTGTTCATTATTGGTATGAGCCATATCACTGCACCCAGCCAGCACTGCACATTTTAAGTGTATGTTCTATGAGTTTTGAGAAAGGTATACATGCATGTAACCACCTTGCTAATCAGGATATAGACTATTTCCATCACCCTCAAGGAGTTCCCTTTTGCATTTTGCAGTCCATCAATCTTCCTCTACCCCTTAGCTCAGACAACCATGAATCTACTTTTTGCCATTATAGATTAGATTTTCCTGTTATAAATTTTTATGCAAATAAAATAATATACAAAATACTTATTTGTGTCTGGCTTCATTAACATAGGATAATGATTTTGAGATTATTGATGTCAATCAGTGTTATCGTTCATTATTTATTTCATTGTTGGATGGTATCCCATTAAATTGATATACCACAATTTGCTCATCAATTTACTTTTCTGTTTTTGAGTTGTTTCCAGTTTTTAGCTATGATGAATAAGGCTACGGTGAACATTCATGTACAAGTCTTTGTGTAGACAATTGTTTTCTCTTGGTAAATACTTAGTGGTATTATTGGGTAGTATGGTAAATATATGTTTAGCTTTACAAAGTGCTGCACCATTTTAATCTCCCACTGGCAATGTATGAGTGTTCCAGCTGCTCCACATTTTTCCCAATATTTAATACTGACAACTTTAAAATATTAGACAATCCAGTGGATATATAGTGATATCTCATTTAGATTTTAATTTGCAATTCACTGATGATATACTATTGAGCATCACATCTTTCATAATGTACTTTATTTTGCGAAGACACATACCCAGCATATGGAAGACCCTCAATAAATATTTGTTGAACTTACACAAATTGAATACAGAAAATGCAGCTCATCAAAGGATTTGAGTTAATTTCCTGGCATTTATGAAATACCGAGCAAGTTATCAAATGATAGCACTTAAGCTAATTCTCAAGTATTTAAAAGAAAGTGTACATCCTCATCTGTCTACCAAATATGGCCCCCAGGCAGTTTGCTCAAGGTCAAATACTGGTGGAACAATGATTAGAAACATTTTATCATCCTCAATTTAATTCTCTTTATATTTGACTCAGGATAAATGTCATTGATTTTTCATATCATTTTATTGAATTTATGTTTTATTCAATTACTGTTTTGCCATAGTATCTCTCCCTGTTCGTTATTAAAAACTTCAGCTCTTGATAAAAACCTAATCATCACCTAAAATTTATTTCCTTTCATAAAAATGTATTTCAACTTCCAGATACTTGATTAACAAATGAACCTTTAAATAAGTGTTTATTTGGGGAAACTAACATATTGGGTAGCAACTTTGTTTCCCATCTTATTATTTTATCAACAATTAAAGGTTAACCAATTCAAAGGTGAATTGCCTTAAATAAGAAGTGATCTATATATTAGCTCTGAGGCCTGTAATTGCATTTAGCTGTAACTCAAATGAGTTGTATGTGTGCTATGTGCAACTAACTGAAAGTCTGGGATGCTCCGTTGCTCAAGCCAGGGCATCAGTATCATTTAAATGCTTTGTTAAGATCAAATAGCCAGCCAGAAACAATTCAATAAATGTCCCTGGTTTCTACAAACAGAAGTTCAGATAAAAAATTACCTCAAGCAAAATTCTATTTAGGTGAGGAAACAGAAAATAGAGCATTATAATATGACTCTGATGTCAAAAACAGGGAACTTCTGAAAGCGTCATTGATTTAGCAATTTTCATTAATTTTTTTTAGTCCTCTACGACGGGCAGCTAGCAACTCGACAGGAAAATACAGGAACCTGAATAAACCTGACCTGTCTTCAGCATCATTTATATACTGCGGTTATGCCCACGGAGGTTCCTGGACTGCATGTTTTGATTGGATGAGAAAAAACCTCCAGGCTTACTCTGATTGGACTTTATTATCATGTTCTGATTGGTTGAGAGTAAGTCTTAACACAACCAATCACAGCATGAAAACAAAGTCCAATCAGAGTAGGCCTAGAGGTTTTTTCTCTCATCCAATCAGAACATGTAGTCCAGGAAACGCATTTGCATAACCTCGGTATATAAAGCATGCTGAGGTCGTATCAGGTCATTTCAAGCTCTTCTGTGTCTAGAGGAAGAGCTACCCCGTGACCGGCTTAGAGAACTGGAAGAGGCCGCAACCTTTCTCCTGCTTGAAGCTGGAGGATGGATGGAGTCTGGAGCCCTGGAGCGTGGGACACTGTTTCGCTGTGGTTGGTGGTGGCGACAGAGCAGTAGGAGAGCGCCCGGCAGCGGGAGCTTCTCCTGCTGGGCTGGAGGACTAGGAGAAGGAAGAGGCACTGCCACATGCTGGAGGCTGGAACCTGTGCCACCGTGGCTGGCCTGGCTCTGGTTGGTTCGCCTCGCTGTGGTTGGTGGTGACGTCGGAGACTGCAGCTCGGTCACAGTGGTAGAAATGTGATGGGGTAGGTGAGTTTCCCGGGGCTGCCCTGCACGCCTCTGGGGGCAAGGGTTGGGTGTCCTACTGGGGCTCACTGCTAGAGGCTACCCTGCCTGTGGCAGTGGTCTGGTTGGGGGCACTCTCCGGGGTGGCATTGCTGGTGGTGGGGCAGGTTGGCTGGCTATCTGGGGCTATACTGCCTGCGGTGGCAGGGGTGGTCGGGGAAAGCAGATTGTGTACACTAGCGTATACTGCCGGTGGCTGGGGAAGGATTAGGGGCGCTATCTTCTGCTGCACTGCCAGCGGCAGGGGGTGGGTTGGGTGGAGTTATCCAGGGCTACAATGCTGGCAGTCGGGGGTGGTTTAGGGACGTTGTTGGATGCTGCACTGCCTGGGGCGTTGTTGGGTGCTGACTCGGGGTGGTGCGCCATCAAGAGCTGAACTGTCCGTGGCGGGGTGGGAGGAGGTGGGTTTGGGATGGTATCTAGTGCAGCAACTCCCGTGGCTGGGTCAGATTTGGGGCACTGTTGGGTGGTACACTCCCTGCAGTGTGGGGGGAGTGCTTTGGGGGAGGTATTGGGGTTACATTGCCTGAAACTAGGGTGTGTTGGATGTGCTATCCGGGGGCTACACTGCTAGTGGCAGGGGTCAGATTAGGGGTGCTGTGGGGGCTACACTGCCAGCGGTGTTGGCGAGCTGAGGTGGCGGCAGCGGCAGCGACAGTAGTGGCCGCCTCTTTCCTTCTGGTGGTCTCCAGGTAAGGGATCGTTCTTCTATTCCCGGACTCCAGACTCTAGAAGGCGATCTTCTCCTGCTCGTGCTAGATTGCACGGCAGGGCTCCCACACCCACTGTGGTTTCCCGGCACGCCCTCATGCTCTGTGTTGCGGAGACCACCTGGGACTACCAGGCAGGGAGTAATAGGCACCCACGGGGGAAGCAGGGGACAGGGCACTGTGGGTGGAGGCGTCAGGAATGGGAACCAGCCCTTGGGTGGGGAGGGCTGGCTGGTTCTGAGTTTCTCCTACTCGGGCTCCCTGAGGAGGGCAGCCCTGGTGGGCCCAGCAATTCCTGGTCAGCTGGAGTTGGCCAGGGGCCGGTTTCAGTGAAGGCATTCACTCCCACCCCAGACCCCAGTTCCTGGCCAGCTTTTGCCAGAAGGAGAGGCTGGACTTTGGAAGGTGGATGTGAGTGCCTTCAATGAAACTGATGCCTGCCACCCAGTCACCAGCGTGACAAGGTGAGGCTCTAACGGTTCCACTGTCTGAATCCTGATTTGGGCTTTTCTGGCTTTGCCTGCCCAGCTACTCCAAGCCAGGCTGAAGGAGGAGAAGGCGAGGAGTCGCCTGTGGTAGGGTCGAGCCTGCAGATGACGTGGTTCTGCAGCTTGCCTCATGCGGTTGGTGGTGGCGATGGAGACCACAGATCGACCGGAGCGGGAGGAGGGCACCCACGGGGGCCAGGTGGTAGGAGCTGGTAGGGTGGGCTGGTACATTGAGGGCGACAGTGGTTGTATTGGCATTGGCGCTAGTGGTGGTAGCAGTAGGAAGTCTGGGGGCCGGGAAGGGGGAATAGGAGCACTGCAGGGCCCATCCCACTCTGGGGTGGGGAGGAACCTGTGGGTGCTGTAACACAGGCTTCGGTGGCAGTGGTGGTGATATACCTAGGGCAAAGAAGAGTTCTCCCCCTTTCTCCTGCAATCTCTGGAGGGTGCCCTCCTGCTGGTGCCTGAGCTAGGCGTGAGTGGCAGCATTGTCTCATTCTTAACAAAATTTAGGGGATGACTATTTGTGTATCCTTTTGCTTGTTTTTTGTTGTGATAGTCTTTGAGTTACTCAAATTTTATGAATCGAGAAGGGGATAAGAGGTATTATAGGCCTTCTAATTCCCATACCTGTTCTTTTTCCTTTCTTCCGCTGTGTGTTTTCTTCTCATTTTCTTGTTCCTCTTCATTTTCTTTTGCTACTGCTTCTATTTCATGTTTGTATTCTTGTTTCTTCTCCTGTTTTTGTTTTCTTTCTCCTCCCTGTAATCACCATGATTTATAATTCTACACTTGTTTAATTGTGTCATATGTATTTCTTTTATAGCTCATAATTTCTAGGAGAACTAGTCAGCCTTGGGTATCTGCAGTGCCTGGCACAATGTAAATTTTAAATGAATGAACATAAATAAATTGTATTTCCACAATTTTGAATCTTGGTATAGTGGAAAGAATATCACTCTGGAGGTCAAGGGGCTGTAGTTCTTGTCTTCTCCATGAATATTCTTTATGTGCCGCTTCTACCATCTGTGAAATGAGGGATGGGAGGGGGAGCTTGAGGAAGTGGTATTAGATGATCATTAATAGTTCTGTCAGCATATTCTTCTAGGGTTTTATGAATGTTATAATTGCATTTTAGACCGTAATAACCAAACATTACATATTGATATAATTTTTTATGTAAGTGGTACATGATCAGCATTGTCCACATTTACAATCGATGGAGGAACAATGAAATTCAGTGTTACGTTAATGGACAACTGGTATCTTATGGTGATATGGCTTGGCATGTTAACACAAATGATGTAAGTCTATTTTTCTGTCTGTGGTTTAATTTGAGAGTATGAGCTATCATTACAATATGAATTGAATAATAAAATAGTTTGGTAGAAACTTAAAACTTTGAAAGTTTTTTTTTATTAAACGAATCTTTCATTGTTAAATTTAGTATAAGAAAATTGTTAAAAGACATGATTAGTGATACAAAAACAGGAACATTTGGCCAAAGTTTTAAGTTTTTTAGATTAAAAAAACCGTGAATCCTGTATTCTATTTATTCCAGCATCAAGCACTAAAAAATGTGGTTTACCCCTTATTTAGATACAGAAAGAAGACCCTAAACAGAAGGATAACATATAGTCACTATTATTAATTACATCGTGATAAATGCTATGGAGAAAATAAATTGGGGATACAGAAAGTGTAGTTGTAGGGAAGGGAGGAGCCGGATGGTCCAGAGATGATTTTAGTAGGAAGAGTTGAGCAAGCGAGGTATGTGGGGAACTTCTTCTATTCAGTGGGAACAGTGAGTGCAAAGGCTTTGAGGCGGAATAGGAAAGTTCAAGGAAAAGGCAGTTTGTCTGGAGCAGAGGGAGGTAGAGGCAGAATAATAAGAGATGAGGTTAGGCAGAAATCATTTTGGCCTTCATAAGCAAACGTAAGGCCTGGGCTTTCGCATCTTACTCAGCTTAAAAATCCTTGGAAGGTTTTCAGCAGACAAGTGATGTGTGCTTATATTTTAAAAACATCAGTCTGCCTGCAGTATTGAGAATATTTTGAAGGGAAATTACAGAAGCAGGAAGATCACTTAAATGGCTTATTGCAATAAAATAAAGAGATTATATGAGTTTCTACCAGTATGTTAGCAGTGGAAGAAGTGACACAGTTGGATTCTAGGTAGAGAACAACTTGAATTAAAACCTCAAGGGTCCTTACGGTTTCTCTACTTGGGGCTTTCCATTGTCTACATTCTGGCCTGTCAGAGTCAAAGTAAAAGGTTTGTTTTAATGCTGAAAGTACTTCCAAGCTCAATAATATACAACCCTTCAAGCATACCTGGTTTTATAAGAACTTACCTCTTAAACACAATTCATTTCTCAGTTTTGTTTGCATCTCTCTCTAGGCTTTAATTTCCCAAAGGGCAGGGATTTGCTTATCGTGTCTTGTATTCGTTTAACTAGCACTGTGTGTATGGTCCACAGTTTGTCCCCTAGATCGGGGCTTGGCAGACTACACCCTATGAGCCAAATCTGACCCTCCCCCTGTTTCTGGTTTTGTGTAAGCTGGGGCCTAAGAATCTTGGCTTTTAATTTTTAAAGGTTTTTTGTTTGTTTGTTTCTTGAGACACAAACAAAATCAAAGAAGAATGGGACAGAAACCAGGTGTGGCAAGCAAAGTTTAAAATATTTTCTGTCTGTCCCTTTATAGAAAAAGTTGCTTTTCCCTGCCGTAGAAACTCATGGTTGTGCCACAACCAATTAATATTTAATAGAATGTTGTTTTCAGAATTAGAATAGACAGATGAAATTCTGCTTTTTATCTTCTCTCCAGAGGAGATCTCTGCAGAGTCTTTTTATTATAGAGTGGAAGAAATCCCAGTGGTCGTCTTGACTCATTCAATGAGAAGACAGTATCTTGGAAAGAAAAGACTTCGTTTTTTGGTTATTTGTAATAGTGCCCTAAGAAGTGGAGAATTCTAGATAATGACACATACTTTATGCAGTTAAAGTTTAAGTTCCTATACTTCTAATTAAAGATTGGGTATTTAATGACGACAGTTCTTTTTGCCTTTGTATGCATTCACAATTCTTTTTGTTACTTTATTGAAGGACCAAAAGTACTTCTTACATATATGATTCTTGCTTATTCATTCTAAGGTGTGAAATAGCCTTTGAGGATAGGGGAAGGGAACTGAGCCATGACTGCTTTCCCTGGTTTGGGTGGGTGGGGTGTAAGATGTAGAGGCTGGAAAGATCTTAAGCTTTTGGCTTCTTCAGTGCTGAATTCCTCAATGTGGAGAGCACTGTACCATCTGCTTTAAGCAGCAGATTATAGTCTTATTGTGTGTTTCGTTCTGTGTAGTTCCTACTCACACACGAGCGGGGATTTATTTTCTTTGTGTGTTTTACTAAATATGGAGGAATAGAGGAATAGATTCATAATTTCAAAAATAAAGTTGAATTTAAAAAATTAGACCCTATGTTTTCATGATTACATTTTGGAATAGTCATTCCCTTGATTCAGATCAATCTCTCTATATATGGATCATTATACATCATGACAGTTTTAAATTATTTTAACGTTTGTAAATAAATAAATATAAGCTCTTTTGCCTTTAACTATAATATTTGAAAAGTAAGTCGGAAGACTGAGTAGGTGGCTATTGTTTTGTTTGCTTAAATGTAAGTGTAAAACATGTAATTGGTCATTTTTCCCAAAAAACTTGACTGGCATTTATTATTTAAATAATAAAGTCTTAATTGATGCTTTCTTCTATTATTATTGTTATATTTTAAAATATTCCTAAAGGCCGATTTAAGGATTTAAACCTTTTCATCATTAAAAATAATGCATTTTTAATGACTTTTAAAAATAGAGCTATGACAAGTGCTTTCGTGGTTCATCAGAAACTGCTGATGCAAATAGCGTATTCTGTGCTAAACCTGTTGCCATTCAGTGAAGCACTCAACCCAGCACAGATATTTGCAATTCATCAGTTAGGACCTAGATATAAGGTAGTAATAACTGTAATTTTATAAATTCTAGAGAGCGTTTTAGATGTAAAATGTGATGTAATATAACTTTTAGTGAAAATCTTTCTTTAATACAGTTTAAGAGTCATTTCTATTTTTTGGAATGTAGTCAGTTTTTATTATATGTTTCTTTTCGGTTCAAAGGTGCTTTTTTCTCAACTTTTTTTATAAACTTTTTTATTCTTCAGAATATTTTCTAATATTGATAGCATGCCTTTTAACAATTCTGAAATAATCTTATAAAACTGTTTTGCTTAATGTAGTATTTAAAATACAAAAATTTGAAATATATATTACATAATGAACATAATAAAGAACTTGTTAATATTACTGGTAACTTGGAAAGAAGAGTTAAAGATTTAGAAGGAATCTAAGATAATATATTTCATGGGCCTGAAATTATTTAATTTTAGTTTATATTTTTGCTTTAATTGCAGTGAGGAAGTAGGTACAGTAGTGAGTAAACTAATTTAGCAAAACTAATTAATGTAATTTATCATTCTTTCTGTTTTTTAAACTTTAAGAACAAAGACTAGGTAAGATATAGCATGCACATATATGAGTTAGTTTTAAATGTGCGGTACACCTGGCTAGGGGAACATATTAGGGTTCTGTTTAAATCACACTGGGAATTGTGAAGTCTCAAACTACTTAGAGCTGAAAGAGAATTACACATTATAGTCAAAGTGTTTATAATTCTGAAGGAGTACTTGTCTTGTACGGAAGTGTGGTTTTTTTATTGAACTCAATTTAATTAATGTGAAGATTGTGTAATGGAAAGGAAAAACATAAAAAAATTCCCTCTTTGGCCTCTGTATTTTTGCATTGGTATTTCTGTTTTTATTTTTGTCATATATATATATATATATACACACACACACACACACACACACACGGATATATATATAGAGAGAGCGAGAGAGGAAAGTTTGAATTTACCCATATTAAAAGATCTTTTTTTCTCAGTGACTTTAATAACCATGATAATATTGAAGGATAATAATGCTATTATTTTTATGTCAAGGTAACAATACTTGCTATCATATATTTTCCATATCATTTTTGTTTTTGTCCTACTAGCTCTAGAAATGAATTTGTGCTTGTCCAGCTACTTTTTCTTTCATGGGTCTTTTTGTCGAGTTTGCATCCTGGTTCTGCCATTGCTGATCTTGCATAGGAATATTTTTGTAATTCACATTTTTTATTAATATGCTGCCTGCTTTTCTTTTCTACTTCTTTGAGTTGTTTCATAAAATGCTTGCAGTATCTTTTTAAGCTCTAATAGAATGATATTAAATAGAGTGACAAGCAAACAAATGAAATATAAAAAGGTAGAGTATCAAGAAGATACAAATCCAATATGATTGCTAATGTGAAATCTCAGAATTGATGGGAGCTTCCTGGCAACATCAAGGAAAAGGGCTGAATATAAGCAATTTTGTAATTCTTCTATTCACAGAGAAGCAAACTTTGTCCTGAACAGCTTTGCAATCTCTGTAGTTTGTAGTATTCTTTTCACACGTCTTTCTCGTCATTCTTTTTAACAACAGTGATAATGAGCAGTAACCCCGGTCATCATACGTGCACAGCTCATGTGACGTAGTGTATCCTTAATATCCTAACACACAGTGTAGAGTACCTAAAGTCAGAACTTTTAAGAGAGATACCTGTAAATTTGGGCATTACATCAGAGAGTATTTTTTTAAGTTTTGAAAGTTCTCAGCTCACTGCACCCCTTGTTGTTAGTGGGGGTTGATAAAGCCAAAGGTACATGCATTTCCTCAATTTGTAAATAGTATAAGTACAATTGCACCATGACAGGCATCAGCAAAAATTTTTTATATTAAAAACCTTTTTTTTTTTTTTTAGAAATTCAGAGAACATAGAGAAGGAGGAATGCAAATGATCAGATTGTGTTTTGACAGAAGAAAAGCTGAGTAGTTCACACATAGTCAAAATTATCTTGCTAAAGTCACTCTCTGTGAGTGAAGCGGGGTAGAGGGCTACAGCGGAACTTTTAAGGTGTAGAGAATATAATTAACTAATGGACATTTGGATAAATCACAAAATGGAGTTTAAATTACTTAGTGTTGTATAATAACAGTATTTATATTTATTGCCTTCAGTTATATGGAACTTTCATTGTAATGGTCAGACAATATTTATGATTCTGAGCTTAGTGTAGATAGCATGTCAACATATGGGCTTCAAAATTAATAAAATAAGTTAATTCTACCTTCAAATAATGCCATCAAACTATATATTCAATGGAGCCTGTCACAAATGATTTTGACCTGTTGGTCACTGTAGTGCTAGGTAAATTTTTTTCTGTTGATATTTGGTTTTGAGCATTGCAGCTTATCAGTATATATTCTGTACTTGGTTATTTTCTGGAAACAGTAAATAAGTTAGGGTATCACTTATTAACTAAATAAACCGTTCATTTTGGAAAATACAGAAATACAGAAAATATTTAAAATAACAGAAAATCTCACTGTAGATTTGTCTAGTATAGTAAAATTTACTGCCAGGTAAGTTTACAGTGGCTATTTGGGGTTATTTAATGTCTTCAAGATTGTGTATGAGGTGGCCCTTTGACATAAGCTTGCAAATCAGATTTTAACAAAGTTTTTATATTTTATAATTATTACTAGACATTTTCTCATTGTTCTGTTAATCCCGTGTGGCAAGCAGTTAGTCTTCATGGCCAGATATTTGAAAATTTAGCTTTGAGTTCTCTCCTTCATTTATGAATATGATAGTATAATAGTTTTTATAATTTGCTATATCATAAAGAAGTTCTAACTGATAAGAGAAAAAGTATAACACAACCTCCAAAATTAAAGATCACTTCAGAGGATTTCTGATACTTGTATAGAGGGGTGAGCTCCTAACAAACTGATCTTCTCAAAAATAACCATTTGTAAACTCTGCACATAATATAGATAACATCTATCTGAGGATTGTGAAGATTGAATAAAAGCAGGCGAGGGTAGTCAAAATATGGAACAGTCAGTCTGCATGGACTGATATCCCCATTTTTTGCTTTTATAGGAAACTTTCTGGCCAGAAAGTTTCTCTACAGTATTGTACAGAGTAATAGTCACACTATTTAGCATATAATCCAAAAGTACTTATTCTAAAAATGGTCAGGAAAATGTGACTTATTCTCAAGGGAAGAGAAAATCATCATAGACCAACTCTAAGATAACCCACATGTTGGAAATATCACATGAGGTCTATTGTAGCATATGGTTTAGCCCTTTCTAATGTTGAACTGTGAAGGAAATTAACTCTTAGAACTTACTGTGAGTTTTTTTGTGTCACTGAAAATTATCTTGGATGCAAAATTGTTTTGGGTGTGGAATTGAATTGATTAATGTACAGTGAAGTCAATTTCTGCTATGATCACTCTTATTTAGGAAGAGTTTTGTAGTGAGAGAAATACTATAGAAACTATGATATTAAATATTTTACGTAATTTTAATCATCTTTTAAAATATTTCACTGTAATTCAGTCCTAAATTAGGCTTAAGAGATGAAACCTTTTGAAAATGTCAAAAGATTTTTTCCCCCTTACTGATAACCGTAAATCCGATTTGAAACTTAATCTACTTGATTACTTTGCAACATTCTTTTAAAAGTGGAGGAGGTATTGGATTTTAGGGGGGGAATCTTTACTTTTTACGTAAGTTATTTCCAGTCTTCTTAATAAAAAGATCTTTATTTAAAAAGCCAATCTAGCTGTGGTACTTTGCTTTTTCAGTAAAAACCAAATTGAATAGCCAGTTTATGTCTTCAGAGAGCTACCTTTGAACAGAACTTAGGTTTATATATTCACTCTTAATCATTTTAGTTATGAATTAGGTGTATCTTTATGATATATTGAATTCTAAATAATAAAAGTACCTCAAAAATAATAAAACTTCATGGATCACATTACATGAGTTATCTACATTAGTTATTTTAAAAAATTAAATACAAATTGAAATGGATAAAGTTATAGTAAAATAAGTCAAAATCTATATTTAAATTTTAATGGCATATAAATATATGTATATTATAAACAGGTTAGTTATGTTTTTATACATAGTTAATAAATATTCTCAGGTATTTGTGGGCCAAGACTGTTGTGGCATTCTTTATCAATAAAGGCCAAAAAGCTCTGGAGAAATAATAAATATGCTAATTTATAAGAGGTATTATTATGCTATTTCTTTCATTTTTTTCCCATGGTCTAACCCTTTACGATCTGATACTTGAAATAAACATTATTTTCTAACTTAAATTAAGCTTATTAAGAATTACAAGATGGTAATTATTTTTAAGAAAAAACACCCACTAGATTATTAGCATCATTTTCCTTAAAAAGATACAGGATTACAAACTCTCATCCATTCCTGAAGTAGAATTGCTACTTATAGAACATGTGTTATAGTACTGTCTGTTGAAAAGTTGAGCAATTATATATCATGACATAATAATCAGCATACTTTTGGTCTATAAAATAAAATACTCCTCTGAAAATCTTTTCCTAGGTATTGATATAGTTTTCAAGAGAGTGTTCTATGTTGTATTAGTTTTGGCTGACAACGATACTTGCTTTTTGGTTTATCCTAGAGTATATATTTAGATCCTCTGCAGATGAACTGATGCGTTCTAGAGAGGAAGTTGTATGTAGGAGATATAGGAATGGGCTGAAGTATCTTTTATATTTGCCTTTGTATCTAGGGAAGTTGGAAATAGGCAAGAATGGAGAGAAATTTTGTATGGCAGTACACAGAATTTTGCAAGTTTATTGTGAGCCTTGCAACAATCCGATGCATTTTAGTTACTGGTAAGTTTGTTGAATTATGTTTGAAAATGTACCTCTTCAAAGATGGCCATCTATTTACTATTACGTCCACCATGTCAATTATACCTTATTGTAAAGATTTTTTTTTTTTTTGCAAAGATGTGGTATTGCTATTGCATTGGGTTTTAGGTATAAATTGAAACTACCTTTGTTAGTGAATGCATTTGACATTTCAATTGGTGTCCTAGTTAATGTTGAAGTGAAATTAATACTTCATGGATAGCAGAGTCTTGTTAAGATTTTGGAATAATAATATTAATATTTCAGTTTTTATAATAGAGCTCCACTGTGTTTAGAGGTCTGAGTTAACTCATTAGATATTTGAGAATGAGTAGTTATTCTGACATAAAAGAATGAGAAAATCTGTGTCATCCTTGCAATTGTATATGGTTCTATATAGTAGGGTGATTTACTGTAAAATACTTTTTTGCCTTTTTTCATGGATCATAAGGACCACTGTGAGGCATTTCTAGTCTGTCTTTTTGGCAGTGCTCATGTTTAGGAATCCATTTTCCCTCAATCACTAACTTTGGTGTATGTAAGAATTCTATGAACAGATTAGGAAATTGTGTAATCTCTATGCATGGTTTTCTTTATTCTTTTTACACATCTAGGCAGATGTGTTATGTGTAATATAGTACTTAGCAATTATTTGTGAAGTGGCCTTGACTATTCAATTCATTTAAAATGGACTAGATTGCTTAATAGCTGTGCTTCTTTACAGAAACGTTTTTTAAAATCCCAAGAGACTCATTGGTAGTTGTAGTTTTCTTGTAAGTGTCTATCTTTGGCTTAAGGACAAAGTAAAAAAAATCATTGATATGTGATAGTTTACATTTTTTGTGGTTTAAGGATATAGGGTCAGTTAATATAATTGAATTTTAATTTCCTATAATGAAGTGCTTTATTTCTGGATACTATATTTTGTCTAGCTGATATGTAATTCATTAAACTATCAATTTTTATAATAATGACAATGATAATTTTGCTGTTGGTTCTTGTTATGAGAACATTTCTGATTTGAACAAAAGTAGCCACATTATGAGAAAAATACATTATCCCTATTGAAACTGGAAGAGCTAGAATAATTCAAAAATTAGAATAACTTCAGATTCCTTTCGGGCTTTAATAATTTTCAAGTTTTCCTTATTACCAAATTGTCTGAATTACTTGTAAGAATGAGTACTTCTGCATTTAAAATATGTTTAGAAATTTGTGGTTTTACCCTTTCTTATGAATATAAATAGGTAATTTAGGGTATATTATAAAACATTGTAAATTGATATTCTTTTAATTGTTGATAAAATCTGGTATATAACAATTTATTATGAGCTACATTAAGCATATACAGTGAAGGAATATGTATTTCCATTATTCAGAATACTATATTCATATATCAGTGTTGCTGGTTAAAATCATTATATGTAACTATGAAGTAATATATTATCAAAGCTTAATTCAATGCAGTCATTTTCTATTTTGTTTCTTCATTCATTCCAAAGACATACCAAGTGCTAAATCTTTGACGCCTCTGTCTGCCTTTATGTATTTGTTTATATACTGTGTAATTGTCACTTTTCATTTCAATATTACATAAATCATTTCTTTGCTCTCATGAGCTTTTCTTAGGGCATACCTGGACATAAGTGACATGTTACATATTCCTCTGGATTTTTTTTAACAAAGTGTTTTTGAAGAATAGTTCTAAATGAAAAGTTTATTTAAAAATAGGGCTTGTTCTTACAAAGCAATATTGCATCTATATTTAAAATTCTCTACAATAGCTTGTTATTCAAAATAATAGTATGATACAGTCTTTATTATGGAAAATGATGTGTGTATGTTTCTTAGGTTTACTTGAAGCCAGACCTATAAATATATGTAGAGATAAACTTTGATGTTTTACTTTGGAATGTAAAAAAACTACACAGTTATGATTCAGTTTATTATATTTAATTTGTAAAGGACAATAGTTTTCTCATGCTTATCAGGAAATATATTCTTTCATAATATAAGGCATAATAGTCATTGTCAATAAAATAGAGATTAGATTTGAATATGGTTATCTCTTGGCATAATAAAATACTGAAATTGGAACACTGTGTTTAGAATAAACGTGATGATTACATAATGATATCTGTACTTTACATGCAGTGCTACTCTTTCGGCATTCCTGGTTGAACTACTTAAAAGTTCAGTAGCCATGCAAGAACAGGTGCTGGGTGGAAAAGGCTTTTTAGTTATTGGCTAATTACTTGAAAAGGTAGGTGATGTGTTGATGGTTTTATTGTGTAGCCTCACAGTTGGACAGCTGACAATCACTAATTATATTTTTTCTATAATTTCACTTTCCATTGACTGTGTAGAGATTATACTATTTGCTAATTCACAAACACCTTAGATTTAAGTGTAGACATGGAATTAACTGGGTATTGGAAGCATAATTAAATTTTGAATTAAAAAACTAAAGAAAAAAATTTCATCTATATCTATTCAAGCAATAAGTATCATTTCTCTTAAGTTTTTCTATAGTAGTGCCCCTTTATTTCTACTCTCTCTTTCTAAGGTGTCACTTACCCATGGACAACTGCAGTTCAAAAATATTAAATGGAATAAACAATTTATAACTTTTAAATTGTGTGCTGTTCTGAGTAGAGTGATGAAATCTCGTACTGTCCCTCTTCATCAAGTCCGGACATGAATCCTCCTTTTGCTCAGCTTTTTCATGCAGTATACACTGTCTTCCTATTAGTCATTTAGTAGCTATCTCAGTTCTCAGACTGAAAATCGTATATATCATCCACTAGGGGTCTTGGAAGCATCGCCTCCGGATAAGAAGTGAGTACTGTAGTTGTTTCTTTGCTATCTTTTCACTTAGACTTTTTTTTTATTTTTTATTTTTTTTGAGACAGTGTCTCACTCTGTCTCCCACACTAGAGTGCAGTGGTGCGATCTTGGCTCACTGCAACCCCCACCTCCCGAGTTCAATCAAGCAATTCTCCTGCCTAAGCCTCCCTAGTATCTGGGATCACAGGTGCGTACCACCATGCCTAGCTAAAGTTTTGTATTTTTAGTAGAAACAGGGTTTTCCCCACGTTGGCCAGGCTGGTCTTGAACTCCTGATCTCAAGTGATCTGCCCACCTCGGCCTCCCAAAGTGCTGGGATTACAAGCATGAACCACTGCGCCTGGCCTTAGACTGTTTCTTGAAAGTCTTTTTTATTAAGATAAAAATCTTTATATTTAGTATACATGGATTTACCTGTTAGGTTTTGTGTTATTTTTTAATTATGCGGTCAAAATTTTTATTTTGTAGTAATAGAAACATTATTTTGTGCTCTTTTTCCCTACTCTTAATATATATGACTATTTAAAGTAGTTTTTCTCATCTATACATAGTATAAACAATAAAAATTAGATGGGTTTACATTTTCCTATTTTGTGTCATTTATGTTGTTTTATGACCTCTTTTGCTTTAGTCACAGCTGTGCTTTTATGAGTGCTGAATTTCTGATTATGATCTCACAAGAGTTTAGTTGTATCATGTGATTTCCTTTAAAATTAGTGAGATTTCATGAATAAGCGTTTTTTTATTTTTTATTTTTTATTTATTTATTTATTTTTTTGAGACAGAGTCTCGCTGTCGCCTGGGCTGGAGTGCAGTGGCGCGATCTCGGCTCACTGCATGCAACCTCCGCCTTCCGGGTTCACGCCATTCTCCTGCCTCAGCCTCCCGAGTAGCTGGGACTACAGGCGCCTGCCACCACGCCCAGCTAATTTTTTTGTGTTTTTAGTAGAAACAGGGTTTCACCGTGTTAGCCAGGATAGTCTCGATCTCCGGACCTCGTGATCCGCCCGCCTCAGCCTCCCAAAGTGCTGGGATTACAGGCGTGAGCCACTGCGTCCAGCCAGCATGTTGCTGTTTTTTTTAATAACAAATACCTGTGCCCTTTATTAGCACTCTCAAACCTCTTATCAGTTAGTTAACTCTATAATATTCAGCTGCTCTGAAAATGAGACTATTTGAAAAGTAATAGAAGTGAGATCTCAACTAAGGGATAAACATACATTTCCTCTGGAAAAAAATTGAGAAGATACTTTGAAGCAGTTTTAATTTTACCTCCAATTGTTTTACATTTGAAATGTTATCAGTTGATTAATGGACAAACAAAATGTAGTATATACATGCAATTGAATATTATTTAGTCACAAAAAGAGTCAAGTTCTAAAATATGCTATATTTTATATATTACATGTCTTTATACCTATATATGTTATATATATAAAAAATATGTCTTTGAAACTAGTGCTGACCTTTCCTTAAGGATTAAGCATTGAAGAGTGGTAGATTGTTAAGATTGATCATTGGTAGCATTTCTTTATTGAGATGATTTTTTCCATAACATTATTAAGAACTTAAGGCTCTTTGGTTTATTTTTTAAAATAAGAGAATACTCTTTTTCTGTATCTAGAGTATTAAGAATTGTTTAGAAGATGTATGATAAGCTACATTTAACATGAATTTTATAACATATGAAATGCCTTTGTAAGATTACTGTGTGTGACAGGATTTCTGTGAGGACTTACCCCTTTAAATGTGCTTTCATTTGTTTACTTGAGAATGTATCAGAAAATCCTAAATTAAACATTCTTTTACTTAAAACTTAGCTTATAATTAGAAATATTTGTAAAAGCCTTCAAATAAAAATGTATGTTAATATTTCATATTATAATGTCAATTTAGTGGATGCAAAATATTATTTCATTGTGGTTTTAATTTGCACTTTTCCTAGATTTTGAATAAGATTAGACATTTTCATATATAATTATGGAAAATGAATATTTTATCTTCTTTGTTATTCATTTCCTTTACCAATTTTCCCTATATCTCTTCATGATTCCCACCCCTAGTCAATCCATAATTCACTTTTTGGCTTTATGAATTGCTTATTCTAAATATTTCATGTAAGTGGGATCATACAATATTTGTCTTTTTGTATTTGGTCCATTTTGCTTAGCATAATGTTTTCAGTGTGCATCCATGTTATAGCATATTTTTTTCATTCCTTTTTATTGCTAAGTAATATTCCAACAGTATTTTAATTTGTATAGCTTTTTAGTGCAGCCTGATATTTAAGAGTATGTCATCTAGCTTTACTGTTGTTCTTGACGATTGCCTTGGCCATTTCTGAGTCTTTGCATTTCCATATATGTCAGCTTATCAACTTCCACCAAAAAACATGAGGATTTTTATTGTATTATATTGACATCTTTCCTATATTGAATCTTTCAAGTCATATACTTGGTATATTCTTTTATTAATTTAGATTTTCTTCTGTAGTTTTCTGTATAGAACAGTTTCTGTCTTTTTGATGGATTTATTTGCAGATATTTGATATTATTTGATGCCCTTAAAATTTTAATTCTTTGCACTTGATCTTACCCAAAAGGCCAAGAAGCAATTAAAAGTTTTGATTTTTAATTTGTTACTGGTACATAGAATTATAATTGATATTTATGTTGAACTTTTATATACCAATCTTTCTATTCCTCTATTAAATCTAGTCATTTGTAGATTTTTTCAAAAAAAATTTTGTAGACAATAATAACATCGGAGAATGATAGTTTTGTTTTTTCCTTTCTAATATTTATTTTTTTATTTTTTTCCTTGCCTTGTTATGCCACCTAAAGACTGCCAGTACAGTGTTGAATAAAAGTTGTGATAGTGGCCATCCCTGTCTTATTCCTGATCTCATGGGCAATGCTGTTAATAATTAGCCACTAAGTATGATATTTTTAATAATTAGTTTTTGTAGATTTTTTAGTTAAATTAAGGAATTATCTATTTCTATTTTTCTAAGAGTTTTCTTTATTATAAACAGGATTTTATCAAACATCTTTTCTGCAGTATTTGAGATGAGTATGATGTTTCTCATTTTTCTTAGTGAATTACATTGATTATTTTTCAGATTTTAAACCTTCCTTATATTCCTGGACACTCACTTACTCCTAAATCTATTCCTATTCCAACCTGTCTTTCGTTCTTCCATGTCCTTTCAGATGGCTCATGTCTTTGTCACCAGTGGCCTTCACAGTCTGTCCTGTGATTATTTCTCAGTCCTTATCTTATTCGACCTGTGAATATTTCGGTTGAACAGTCTTTCCTTCTTGAAATGCTTTCTTGCATTGTGTTTTGCCATGGTTTGCTTTGTTTTTCTCTTACTTATTCTCTCTCATTAGTTCTCCTTCATCTTTATAAACTCTGATGACTCTTCTTTCCCAGTGATTAATCCTGGAAAGCATTTCACTTTTCCATCTACACAGTACCTTACTCTAATTGAGATTATCCACTTCTACAGCTCCCGTGATCCTGTAAATACTAATTACCCTCAATTGTTTCTCCTATTTTTAGTTCCACTTGGATTTCTAGTAATCTTCTTGACTAAATTATCCAAACTGATTTTTCTCTCAAATTTTTCATCCTTCAGAGTTGTTTGTCTTATTTAGTGGCATTACCATTCAACAAGTAGTTGAAACCAAAAAGTTAATTGTTTTTGACTCTACTTTTGTTGCACTCTAGATCCAAACTCTCAGGAAATTATGTTGTTTTACTCTCAGAACATATCCAGAATCAATTACTACTTCCTCATTATTTCTCAACTCCTTACTATGTCCGTTGATACCATTTTAGTTCAAACCATGATCATCCTTCACCATTGGTTACCTACAGTCCGTTTTTCACTTGCAGTTAGACTAGTTGTCCTAAAATGTGCCAAATCTTATTCAAGTCTTCATCCTTCTCATAATGAAGTCATAAGCCTTACACCTCACATCATCTCTCCCCACTCTCTTGCTTTCTCTGTTTTAGGCAAAGGTCTTTTTGCCTTTCCCTTAAGAACTAAAATGATAAGAATTTACCCAAGGACTTTTGCATTTACTTCCCCCATTGTTTCCATCACTTTTTCTTCAGATACTCACAGAATTTGATTCTATGCTTCATTCAGGATTTTGCTTGTATGATGCCTTATCACAGAAATATTCTCCAATCATTCTAAATAAATTAGTATCCCTTCCATAACCATCAGTGTTTACCTACTCTGCTAATTTTACAGCACCATTCTGGCGTGTTTTATATTTTTTACCAATTTTCTGCCTCCTCCTGCTAGAATGTAGGCTTCATGAAAGCAGGGGCAATATATACATATATATATGTATGTGTGTGTGTATATATATATATATATATATATATATATATATGTATGTGTGTATATATATATATATGTATGTGTATATATATATATATATGTATGTGTATATATATATATATGTATGTGTATATGTATGTATATATTTTTTTTGTCTCCCCTTATTGTTATATCTTCAGCACCTAGCACAGTGCTGGGCTCAGTAAATAGTTGTTGAATTGAGTATATGAAAAGTCCTTGCATGCTTGTCTGATTACCTAAGAAACAGTAACTTTTTTACCTTTCTCAGAGGAATGCTCATATTGTGTTATTTTTAAATAATCAGTGGCCAGGTTAGTATTAATAGTATAGGTAATAGAAGTTTGATTTTTTAATTTCTTAACTTAATAACAGGTTACTGGTTAACTGCCACTTAGCTTTTATATCTCCTTGTCATAGAAGATATCTTAGGAAGATAGTATATGCGAGGCCTTTTATTAATAACAATTTTACTGTTCCATGAAAAAATTTTAAGGTGTTTTTGTTTTGTTTTGCCAAAATATGATCTTGTGGAAAACTTAGAGGTTATCCAGTATATTCAATAGGATATTTTTGATTGTGGTTAGTAGAAAATTTGATTCAAAGTATCTTAAACATTAAGAAAATATACTAATGTAACAAAGTCTAGTGTTAGATGGCATATCAGTTATATTCTTGGCAGGAAACAGATGGCGTACTCAACCTAGGTTTTTGAGAAGAGTTTAATGCAAGGGTATTCAAAAAGTTGAAAGCAGGGAGCTTGGGAAGATTTGAAGAGATGAGGGGAATAAGTGTTTAGCATAACCCAAAGAGAAAGTTATTGTAGCTATAGAAGAAGGGTGCCTGATGGGACTGTGGTCTTCAAGAAAGGAGTATAGTGTAAGTGTACTGAAGGGGTAAAATCTGGAAAATGTATACCCAACTTCATTTTCTTTCTGTCCCTTAATTTCTTGCTAATGTCTTCAATTAGTCAAACTCAACTGGAAACCAGTAGGCAAGGGAGCGTCTCAAGCATTAAAACAGGACAGGGAGGTTGGAAAGGCAGCAAAAGGTTGGAAAAGCAGCAAACATAAGTTGTGTTTCAGGGCTGGGTTATCTGAGTCTCAATAATGTCATCAGAGACCCAGGTTTTATCTATATCTCTGCTGTACCAGCTACAGTGTTGATTTTATGCTAAAGCTGATACTGTTTGAGGTCACAAGGCTGCCAGAGAGAATTAGTGCTATAGACCTTCACATCCAGGTGAAGAAAGCAAGCTCCTTTCTGTCAATTACTGAGCAAGATTCTTCTCTCCAATTTGATTGGTTAGCTTAGAGCTTGGCTGGCCTTCTTTTGAATCAATTGTTGCTATGCTACACTTTGATACTGAGTCTCTGAACTAATCATTGCCTGCCACCCTCCCCATCACTCCACCAAAACAACAACAAATGATTAATCTGGTTGGATTAGGCTATTTGGAGCACAACCTTGGAGTCCTGGGAGGAGCAGAATGGATAATAGACTATGGTGTACCTCTACAATTAAAATAGTTTTACACAATTTATTGAATATATAATCATACATGTTATGGGTATATGTGTGTGTATGTATAATGCTTTCTACAATAAAAATGAACATTTCTGATAACCTGTTCCATTATAGGCTAATCTAAATGTTGGAACAATCTCTCTTTATTGAACAGAAGTTTCTCTTTGTAACCGCCAGTGCTCCTATTTGGTTTAGTTAATTCTGGATTGGATGCTATAATGCAACTATTTTTATAACTTCTCAGGTATTATTTCCAAATATGGTTAGCCATGTCACATTATAGTACTTCTTAAAAATTATGTATTCTGTCACCACATAAAATTAATATATAGATCAAATTCCAGGGCTTACATTTTCTATGAGATTTAAATTGTTCCATCTAAAGGTTACAGATTTATAACTATAAATTATCCAAGTGTAGATCTGTTTTTAAAGTAGTTTTACTTGAGAAAATGAAAACAAATACCAAAATATAAAAATATTTTGAAACTGTTAATCAAATGAAATACATTTAAAAGCAGAGTTAGAATCTTCTTTCTTCTCTTCCCAGGCTTTGTTTTTTCCTACCTATTCTATTCTTACTCCATTTTTGAATTTGACATTAATTCAGTTAAATGTTCCCTGAGAAATTAGGGTAGGGATCAGGAAGACAAAAGATGAATAAGATAATATTCTTTCTTATATTACGAAAGAGAGATTTTTTTTTTACTAACAATAATACAAGGAAGGAGGAATAAGTACTTCTAAGAGGTAAAGGTAACATGCTGTTGAAGAGAATATTCATTTATACATTTATACACTATTTATAATCCAGAATAGTAGGATTTTGAGGAGATCAATAAAAAGACAATAAAATATTTTCTAAAGAATAATTTTAGAATGAAAATCTGCCACCCAACAGCATTAATTGTTATGTGAAAACAGCAGGCCCCCCCATTTTTTTTTAAGTAATGTGGAAGGCCTTGTGATGCTTTTAGTATACCTTTTAATATCATGGTCCAAGTTCCAAACTTGTTTCTATATTATGAATTCATCAAGTGGATATGTTTATAATGGTCAGCCTGATTTTATAATACAGGTTAATGTTCTTTATAAGGACATGATGAATAATTTTTATGAGCTACAGTCTGGTCACATAGTATGTTTATCTATTAACAGGATCTGACTGTATTTTATTTTAGAGTTTTAAGTGTGAGAGTACAATGTTATCAGATCATGTTCTTGAAATCATTACTACTGAATAAAAATAGAATGTATAAGATAAGCTATGTGAAATTATATTTAGTGAAGGAGCTGGCTGAAGTTTTAAATAACTATTGATCTCTTATTTTAATTTTATTCCTTTACAAATAAAATATTTTTAATTTAAAGTACTATATTATTTTCACTGATACTCCTTTAAATATGAATACTCAATCTTTACTTTTTAAACTCAAATGTTTGTTTTGGTTCCCCTCCTTTATTAACTCAGCTATTTATTTAGATCAATTTCCACCATCTTTCATAAAATTTTCAGTGAAAATTATGTACTAAGGTTTGCTTTGAATTTTGTAGGCTATTGCTTATGTAAGCACCATTGGTAATTTTGTCAGACAAAGAATTC